>NT_167250.2:300000-586476 GCF_000001405.40 Homo sapiens
TTACACAATATACAAAAATTAACTCAAGATGGACTAAAGACTTAAATGTAAAACTCAACACTATAAAAACCGTGGAAGACAACCTAGGCAATACCATTTTGTGCATAGGAACTTGTAAAGATTTCATGATAAAAACACCAAAAGCAACTGCAACAAAAGAAAATAAAAATGACAAACAGTATCTAAGTAAACTTAAGAGTTTCTGCATAGCAAAATAAAATATTAACAGAGTAAACAAACATACTAAAGAATGGGAGAAAATTTTTGCAAACTATGCATCTGACAAAGGTCTAATATCTAGCATCTACAAGGAACTAAAACACATTTTCAAGAAAAAAAACATTAAAAAGTGAGCAAAGGTCATGAACAGACACTTTTCAAAGGAAGTCATACATGCAACCAACAATCACATGAAAAAAAGCTCAACATAACTGATCATTAGATGTAGATGATGGGTTGATGGGTGCAGCAAACCATCACAGCACGTATATACCTACGTAACAAACCGGCATGTTCTTCACATGTGTCCCAGAACTTGAAGTATAATAAAAAAGTTAATTAATTAAAAAAAGAAAAATGTAAATCAAAACCACAATGAGATACCATCTCACACCAGAGTGGCTGTTCTTAAAAAGTCAAAAAATTACCGATGTTGATGAAGTCGTGGAGGAAAGGAAACACTTGTACACTCTAAGAGTGTAAATTAGTTCAATCAAGACCAGACTAAATATAGATATGCATCCAGAAATGCTTTTAGAAAATATATCATATGTTTATAATACATAAGCTAATAAAATGGGAGAGTTCTCTGATTCCCCTGGCAGGATGTGTGACAGGGGTGTGGCTCACCTGTTTGGTCACCCGGCAGCTCAAACCCCTAAGGCAGATGGGCAGGTGCAGAGGCCAGGCAGGTGCAGAGGCCAGGGCAGAGCGTTTTGGACTCTCAGCCCCATGGCAGCGTCTAGGGCTGGGTACCTACAACCACAGTGTTACTAAGCTCTGTCAGCTTTGCCATCTGCAGGCGGCTTGTGTGTTAGTTAGCCCAATAAGCCCTCTGCCTTATCTCAAGGGCAGAAGGCCAGTGTGACAGTCTTATGTATCCTGAGTTCTTGCCCAGTGTCCCAAAAGAATCGGATCACACGTGAGCGTGAAGGATTGAATGCAAGGTTTTTTTGTTGTTGTTGTTGTTGTTGTTGTTGTTTTCTTTCGTTTTGTTTTTGTTTTTTAGAGACGGAGCCTCACTCTGTAGCCCAAGCTGGAGTGCAGTGGCGCCGTCTTGGCTCACTGCAACCTTCGCCTCTGGGGCTCAAGAGTGAATGCAAGGTTTTATTGAGTGGTGCAGGTGGCTCTCAGCGAGATGGATAGGTAGCAGAAGGAGGGATAGACTGGGAAGGTGGTCTTCCCCTGCAGTCGGGCTGCCCAGAGGCAGGACTCTGCTCTGACCGCCGCCAGCTCCCCACCACCCCACCTCTCCGCTGAACTATCCTAAGCATCTAGAGAGGTCCCTCCTCTTCTCTATTTCTCTGCCACATCGTTCTGCCGTTGCTAGTCTGCTTGTCGGCTGGTCGTCTGGCCTTGATGTTCAGCTGCTTGTGTGTGTGCCTGCTAAGGTCTCAGGTTTATGTGGGCACAGAATGGGGGGCGTGGTAAGCCAGAGAGGTCTTGGAAAATGCAACATTCAGGCTCAAAAACAGGAGTGCCTGTTCTCAATTAGGTCTGTGGGCACATGCCCGAGGGTGAATCCCTCACCAGTGACCTTGCTCTTCTCTACCCCACACTTCGCTGCCCAATCTCCAGTTCCACTAATATATCTAAAAGTCACATGGGATCCCTCCAGTCTAGATTATTGGTGAGACTACTGAAAGCTTCAGGTACGACTTTAACATCTGCTTACCTTGTTTTTTTTTTCTCTTAAACAGCTTTAGTAATGTATAATTGATGTACTATAAATTCTACCTATTTAAAGTGTACAGTTGATAAGTTTTGACATGTAAACATTCATGAAACCATTACTACAATCAAGATAATAATAGATCAATTGCCGCAACAGTTTTATCATGTTCCTTTGTAATTGTCTTATACTTCTCCCCAGTCTCCTATAGCCAGGTAACCATTCATCTGTTTTCTGTTAATAGAGCTTTGCTTGCATGTTATAGAGTTTCATATAAATGGAACCACAGTCTGTATACTTGTTTCACTAGCATCTTTCACTCAGCATCATTATTTTTATTTTGAGATTCATTTACTCTTCATGTACCAATGGTTCATTCCTTCATAGTGCGGAGAAATACCTCATTGTATAGATATGCTACAATTTTTTTATTCATTCTCTGTTGATGGACATTTAAATTGTTTCCAATTTGAGGTCATTGCAAATAAAATTACGATGAACATTTGTGTAAAATCTTTGAATGGATATGTGTTTTCATTTCTCTTGGCTAAATACCTAGAAGTAAATTGGCTAGATCACAGGGTAAGTGGATGTTTAACTTTTTAGGAAACTATCAAACTGTTTTCCAAACTGATTTTACCATTTTATTTCCACCAGCAGCGATGGAGAGTTCTGGTTGCTTTATATTCTTGCCAACATTTGATATGACCTGTCTCTTTAATTTCAGCCTTTCTAATATGTGCATAGTACTTCATTCTGGTTTTAGATTGCCTTTCCCTAATAACTAATAATATTAAGCATCTTTTCATGTATTTACTGACCATCTGTATCTTCTTTGGTGACATGTCTTATCCAACTTTTTAATTACTTTGTTTTATTATTTATCGAGTTTTAAGAGTTATTTATATGTGTTCTATGTATCTTTTAGCAGATATATGTTTTGTAAAATATTTCTTATTTCAATAGTTTTCGGGGTACAAGTGGTTTTTGGTTATATGTATTAATTGTATATTAGTTAATTCTGAGATTTTATTGCAACCATCACCCAAGTAGTGCATGTTGAACCCAATAGGTAGTATTTATCCCACACCCCATTCCTACCCTCTCCTTTCTGAGTCTCTAAAGCCCATTATATTACTTTATATACCTTTCCGTACTCACAGCTTAGCTCTCACTTATAAGCGAGAACATACGTTGTTTGGCTTTCCATTCCTGAGTGATTTCACTTGGAATAATGGCCTCCAGCTCCATTTAAGTTGCCGCAAAAGACATTATTTTGTTCCTTCTCATGGCTGAGTAGTATTTAATGATTTATATATACACCTCATTTTATTTATCTACTCTTTGGTCAGTGTAGACTTAGGTTAGTTCCATATCTTTACAGTTGTTAATTGGATTGCAATAAACATATGTGTGCATGTTTTTTTTTTTTCTTCATATAATGACTCTTTTTTTGGTGGGGGGATAGATACACAGTAATGGCATTGCTGTATTGAAAGGTAGATCTACTTTTCATTTCTTTTTTTTTTGAGATGGAGTTTTGTTCTTATTGCCCAGGCTGAGGTGCAGTGGTGTGATCTTGGATCGCTGCAACCTCCGCCTCCCAGATTCAAATGATTCTCCTGCCTCAGCCTCCCAAGTAGCTGGGATTGTAGGTGCCCACCTCCATGCTCAGCTAATTTTTTGTACTCTTTTTAGTAGAGATAGAGTTTCACTATGTTAACCAGGCTGGTCTCAAACGCCTGAGCTCGTGATCCACCTGCCTCAGCCTCCCAATGTTCTGGGATTACAGGTGTGAGACACCGTGCCTGGCCTCAACAGTGTTTTATAGTTCTCCTTGTACGGACGTTTTATCTTCCTGGTTAAGTATGTTCTTAGGTATTATATTTTTTTGCAGTTAAAAAAGTGATGGAATTTTTTAATTTGATTCTCAGCTTGGATGTTATTGCTGTATAGCTGTGCTACTGATTTGTGTATATTGATTTTGTAACCTGAGATGTAACTAAATTTGTTTATCAAATCTAGGAGTCTTTTGAAGAAATCTTTAGAGTTTTCTAGGTATACAATCATATCATAAGTGAACAGTGATAGTTTGACTTCACTTTTTCAACTTGGATGTCTTTCATTTCTTTTTTTTCCCCTGATTGCTCTGACTAGGACTTCCAGTTCTATATTGAATAGAAGTGATAAAAGTGGGCATCCTTGTCTTGTTCCAGTTCTCAGAGGGAATTTCAGCATTTCCCCATTGAGTATAAGGTTGGCTGTGAGTTTGTCCTATATGGCTTTTATTACTTTGAGGTAAGTCCCTTCTATGCCTAATTTGTTGAAGGTATTTATTATAAAGCATTGCTGCATATTATCAAATATTTTTTCTGCATCCATTGAGATGATTATGTGGCTTTTGTTTTTAAATCTGTTTATGTGATGTATTCCATTTATTGACTTGCATATGTTAAAACATCCCTGTATCCCTGGGATGAAACTCACTTGACCAGGATGTATTATCTTTTTGAGGTGCTATTGGAGTCAGTCAGCTAGTATTTTGTTGAGAATTTTTGCATCTCTGTTCATCAGGGATATTAGTCTGTAGATTTTTTTGTTTTTGGTTATGTCATTTATTAGTCTGTAGTTTTGTTGTTGTTGTTACATCATTTTCTAGATACTGGCTTCACAGAATGATTTAGGGAGAATTCTCTCTTTCTTTATTTTTGGGAATCATTTCAGTGGGAATAATTGATACTAATTATTCTCTGAGTGTGTGGTATAATTCAGCTCTGAATTCTTCTGGACCTGGATATTTTGTTGTTGGTGGTAATTTCTTTAACTTCTAATTCAATCCCACTGTTACTGGTCTGTTCAGGGTTTCTACTTCTTCCTGATTTAATCTAGAAGGGTTTTATGCTTCCAGAAATTTATCTATTTCCTCTAAATTTTTTAGTTGTGTGTGTAACAGTGATCATAGTAGCCTTGAATAATTTTTTGGATTTCTCTGGTATTGGTTGTAATACCTCCTGCTTCATTCCTAATTAAGCTTGTTTGGATATTCTCTCTTATTTTCTTGGTTAATCTCACTAATGGTCTATTAATTTTGTTTATCTTTTCAAAAAACCAGCTTTTTATTTCACTTACCTTTTGTATTTTTTGTTGTAATTTCATTTAGTTCTGCTCTGATCCTTCCTATTTCTTTCTTTCTGATGGCTTTGGGTTTAGTTTGTTCTTGTTTCTAGTGTTTCTTGAGTTGTGACAATATAGATTGTGAATTTGTGCTCTTTCAGCCTTTTTGATGTAGGCATTTAATGCTATGAACCTTAGTCTTAGCACTACTTTTGCTGTTTCCCAGAAATTTTGATCACTCTGTCACTGTTATCATTCATTTTAAATAATTTATTAATTTCCATCTTGATTTTTACCCAAAAATCATTGAAGAGCAAATTACTTAGTTTTCATGTATTTATATAGCTTTGAGGGTTCTTTTTGGTGTTAATTTCCAGTTTTATTTCACTATGGTCTAAGAAGATACTTGATATGATTTTGATTTTCCTGATTTTACAGAGAACAATTTTACTGATTTATTTATCAGATCTAACAATTTTTAAATGAAATCCTTGGGTTTTTCTAGATATTATACTATGTCAAATGCAATGAAGAATAACTTGACTTATTTATTTCCAATTTGAATGCACTTTATTTTATTATTATTATTTTTTGCTCCTAATTGCACTAACAACATCTTCTGGTATTATGTTATATAAGAGGACTGACAGTGGGCATCTTTGTCTTGTTCCAGTCCCTAGGAAACATTCTTTAATTTTTTTCTTGTTCAGTATGATTTTAGTCATGGATCATATATGGCCTTTATCATTTTGGAGAATGTTTCATCTAAAGTCATTTTGATGGTTTGATGATCTAAAACCATTATAATTTATTATATAGGGATTTGGATTTTTATGGGCTTTTTTTAGCATGTACTGAAATAATCCTATAATTCTTGGATCTGTTAATACGGTGGGTCATGTTTACTGATTTGCATGTATTGAAACATCCTTCCCTCCTCCCTTGCACGAATTCTGTGTTACCCTAGAAAATTATCTTCTTAATGTATTATTAGTTTAGTTTGCTTGTATTTTTTGAGGACTTTTGCATCTATACTTGTATTAGTCCATTTTGACACTGCTAATAAAGACATACCTGAGACTGGGAAGAAAAAGCGGTTTAATTGGACTTAGAGTTCCACATGGCTGGGGAGGCCTCAGAATCATAACGGAAGGTGAAAGGCATTTCTTACAAAGTGGCGGCAAGAGAAAATGATGAAGACGTACGAGCGGAAATCTCTGATAAAATCATCAGAGCTCATGAGACTTATTCAATACCACAAGAATGGTATGGGTGAAACTGCCCCGTGATTCAAATTAACTCTCACCACGTCCCTCCCACAAAAATGTGGAACTTTTGGGAGTACAATTCAAGACGAGATTTGGGTGGGGACACAGAGCCAAACCGTATAATTCTACCCCTGGCCCCTCCAAATCTCATGTCCTCACATTTCAAAACCTATCATGCCTTCCCCAATATTCCTCAAAGTCTTAAATCATTTCAGCATTAACCCAAAAGTCCACAGTTCAAAGTCTTATCTGAGGCAAGACAAGTCCCTTCCACATATGAGCCTGTAAAATCAAAAGCAAGCTAGTTACTTCCTAGATACAACAGGGTTACAGATATTGGGTAAATATAGCCATTCCAAATGGGAGAAATTGGCCAAAATAAAGGGGTTACAGGACCCATTCAAGTCCAAAATCCACCAGGGCAGTAAAAATTTAAAGTTCCAAAATGATATCCTTTGACTCCAGGTCTCATATCCAGGTCATGCTGATGCAAGAGGAGGATTCCAATGGTCTTGGGCAGTTCAGTCCCTGTGGCCTTGCAGGGTACAGCCTCCACCCTGGCTGCTTTCATGGGCTGGCAATGAGTGTCTATGGCTTTTCCAGTTGCATGGCCCAAGATGTTTGTGCATGTATCATTCTGGGGTCTGGAGGATGGTGGCCTTCTTCTTGCTGCTCCAATAAGCAGTGCCCTGGTGGGGACTCTGTGTGGGGGCTCACAGCACACATTTTCCTTTCACACTGCCTTAGCAGAGTTTCTCCATGATGGTCTCACCCCTGTAGCAAACTTCTGCCTGGACATTCAGGAGTTTCCGTACATCTTCTAAAATCAAGGTGGAGGTTCCCAAACCCCAATTTTTGACATCCATGTACTGCAGGCTCCATACCATGTGGAAGCTGCCAAGGCTTGAGGCTTCCACCCTCTGAAGCCATGGTCTGAGTTCTACATTGGCCCATTTCAGCCATGGCTGGAGTGGCTGAGATGAAAGGCACCAAGTCTCTAGACTGCACACAGCATGTGGACCCTGAGCCCTGCCTAGGAAACCATTTTTTTCTCCTAGACCTCTGGGTCTGTGATGGGAGAGGCTGCTGCAAAGGTCTCTGACATTCCTGGAAGACATTTTCCCCATTGTCTTGAGGATTAACATTCAGCTTCTCATTACTAATGCAAATACATGCAGCCAGTTTGAATTTTTCCTCAGAAAATAAGATTTTCTTTTCTATTGCATTATTAGGCTGCAAATTTTCCAAACTTTTATGCTCTGCTTTCCTTTCAAAAAGGAATGCATTTAACAGCACCCAAGTCACCTCTTGAATGCTTTGCTGCTTAGAAATTTCTTCTGTCAGATACCCTAAATCATCTCTCTCAAGTTCAAAGTTTCACAAATCTCTAGCCCAGGGCAAAATGCCACCCGTCTCTTTACTAAAACATAACAAGAATCACCTCTGCTCTAGTTCCTAACAAGTTCCTCATCTCTATCTAAGACAACCTGAGCCTGGATTTCATTGTCCATACCATTTCCAATACTGTTGTCAAAGTCATTCAACAAGTCTCTATGAAATTCCAAACTTTCTCTCATTTTTCTGTCTTCTTCTGAGCCCTCCAAACTGTTCCAATCTTTGCCTATTACCCAGTTCCAAAGTCGCTTCTACATTTTTGGGTATCTTTTCAGCAATGCCCCACCCTACTAGTACCAATTTACTCTATTTTTCTGTTTTCACACTGTTGATAAAGACAAACCAGATACTGTGAAGAAAAAGAGGCTTGGCCAGGTGTGGTGACTCACACCTGTAATCCCAGCACTTTGGGAGGCCAAGACGTGCAGATCATGAGGTCAGGAGATTGAGACCATCCTGGCTAACACGGTGAAACCCCATCTCTACTCAAAATACAAAAAATTAGCCAGACGCCTTGGTGGGCGCCTGTAGTCCCAGCTACTCGGGAGGCTGAGGCAGGAGAATGCCATGAACCCGGGGGGCAGAGTTTGCAGTGAGCCGTGATTGCGCCACTGCACTCCAACCTGGGGGACAGAGCGAGACTCTGTCTCAAAAAAAAAAAAAAAAAAAGAAAGAAAAGGAGGCTTAATTAGACTTAAAGTTCCTCATGGCTGGGGAGGCCTCAGAATCAGAGCAGGAGGTGAACGGCACTTCTTACATGGTAGCAGCAACAGAAAATGTGGAAGATGCAAAAGTGGAAACCCCAGATAAAACCATCAGATCTCATGAGACTCATTCACTATAATGAGAACAGTATGGAAGAAACAGTCCCCGTGATTCAAATTAACTCCCATCAATCCCTTGCCCATTATTATTTGTTTGATGTTTTCAACCGCTTTATAGTTCAATCTTAGTAAGTTTTGAGTCCAGAAATTCATATGTTTCTTCTAGGTTTACTATTAATTTATCATAACAATTCTAATAGTTTTGTATTATTTTGGTCTCAGTTTTTATGTCTCTTCTTTTTCCATTTCTGATGGTTTTTATTTGCATCTTGTCTATGTTTTTCTTGCTTAACTTAGCTAAAGGTTTGTTAACATCATTGATCTTTGAAACAAGTCAGGGTCACTGGTCTGGTTGTCTAAGGTGTTATCAGAGCTTGTGATCTCAGGACCAAAAAAATTAAGAAGCGTGGTTACAAAGGGTGAGGTTGGAGCAAAAATTTAATAACAAAAAAACAAAGCTCTCGGCAGTGGAGAGGGTTCCCTGATGGTTGCTGTGTTACGGTTGTATTCAAAAGCTCTTATGAGGAACTGCTTTCATCTCTGTAACTGAGTAACTTTTCTTATCTATAAAACTGCCTGCATAGTTTCATCTCTGTAACTGAGTAACTTTTCTTATCTATAAAACCGCCTGCATATCTCCCAGTTATTCTCTGTCATTGTGGATATGTCTCCAGGAAAGCACAAAGTGCTGTTTCTTGCGTTTGTATAATGATGGGTTTGTTTTAGGTACACCCCCCTCCTCTCTTTGCAAATTCCCATGGAGCCCACTGTGTACATGTCTGAAAAGGGGAGGACACTTTTTCCTGGGAGCTTACTAATCATACAAAGAGCAAAGGGTTTCTATGCTGGACATTGCATGCCTTGCCTGCTTATCTGTGGCTTATCTGTGCAGGTGCACTGTAGCTGTGATTTTTTTTTTAGGCAGGCAGCTTCTGCAGTCTGAGTTTTTCCCCAAGCTGCTCTATTTTTCCTGTAGTTGTGAGTTTTCAGGAAGGCAGCATTTTTGAGGACCAGCCTTAATTGTTTACTTAACTGATTTTCTCTTTTCTTCTCCATCATCTTCACAAAAAAACAACTTTTTGTTTCATAGATCTTTTGTATTGTGTTTATTTTAGCCTCAAATTTATTTAACTGCGTTCTGGTCTTTATAATTTCTTTCTTTCTATTAGCTTTGGGTTTGGTTTGTTCCTGCTTTTTTAGTTCTTTGATGTATAGTATTAGGTTATTTGAAGTCTTTCAACTTTTTTGATACAGATGTTTGTTACAAGAAACTTTCTTCTTACAGTTTTTTTGGCCATCTTCCATAGACGTTGGTATGCTGTACTTCCATTTTCATTTGTCTCACAAAATTTTTAAATTTTCTTCTTAATAACTTCATTGACATGTTTGTCATTTAGCAGTATGTTTAATTTCCATGTGTTCATGTCTGTTTTCCAGATTCTTCTTTTAATTTATTTTTTGTTTTATTTCATTGTGGTCAGAAAATATACTTCATATGATACTTGTGTTTTTGAATTTGTACAGGCTTGTTTGGTAGCCTATCATAGAATTAAGGGAGACATTTTTTGTGCTAATAAAAAGAATGTCTATTCTACAGCAATTATGTGAAACTTTCTGTATATGTCAGTTAGGCCCTTCATATCTAGTGTGTACTTTAACTCTGATGTTTCTGTGTTGATTTTCTTCCTGGATAATCTTTCCATTACAGAGAATGGGGTGTTAAAGTCTCCTACTATTGCTGTGTTGCATGCTAGTTTTGCCTTTAGGTCTGTTAATGTTTGCTTTACATGCTTGAGAGCTCAGGTTTTGGTAAGTATAATGACTAAATCTTGCTAAACTGACCCCTTCATTATCATGTAGTTACTGTCTTTGTTTTTTGTTTTTTTTTTCCCGTCTGATTTGTAATCTGTTTATAACTACACCTGTACTTTTCTGGTTTCTAGTTGCATGGAATATATTTTGCCATCCCTTCACTTTCAGTCTATGTATGGCTTTATAAGTGAAGTGGGTTTCTTTAAGGCAGCATGATTCTTTATTCAGCCATTCTATGTCTTTTAACTGAGAACTGAGACAATTTACATCCATTTTTATTATTGACAAGTAAGGCTTACTAGAGCCATTTTGTTGATTGTTTACTGTTTGTTTTTAGACTCCTCTCTTCCTTCCTTCCTGTCTTTCTTCATAATTAGGTGATTGTCTCTGGTAGTATATTTCAAGTTGCTGCTTTTTAAGTACATCAATGATAGATTTCTTAACTGTGGTTACCAGTAGACTTACAGAAAACCATTTTAGAGATATGGCATGTTATTTTAAAGAGATCACAACTTAGATTGCAAATAAAATTATAAAATAAATAAGGGCAAAAGTCACAGAAAATGTATATACTTTAACTCAATCACCTACCCATTTTGACTCATAGTTATCTTGATTTACATATTTGTATATCATCTGTTTCTTAACCGGTTGCTATAGTTGTTATGTTTTCTGGGATAGGTGAAATGCAGAACACAAATTCAGTACTAGCTTATTCTGGGTTTTTGCATGTACTCAATTTTACCACTTGTTTTTATACCTTGAAAAGTTACTTTTTGCATGATAGTGTTTTACTCTTTCTGACTGAAGAGCTCCCATTAGCATTTTTTGCAAGATGGGTCTGGTGGTGGAGTCTCAGGACTTTTCCTTAGTTCAGCTAAAGATGGGATCCTTGTCTGTCCCATGGCCACAAAAATTTAGGCTCACAGATGGTTTGAATGTCGAGGACTCTGAAAGGCCAGAGTCCCCCTGCTAGAGTGCTTCCTGCCCAAAGCTTGAATCCCAGCTTCCACACAGAAAGAGGAGGGGCCTGGCTCTTCCCCACTGCAAATGGCACAAACTTGCTGAGGTTCCACCCCAGTGAACATTCTTCTCAGTGTTCAAGCTCTTTGGAGATTCTCTGGGGACCACCTCCTACCTGGCTGTCTCTTTCCCCCTTGTAAAGAAGTATATCTGAATGCTATTTGAAAGAGCATAAGGAAGATCAATCTTTACTGCTTCCTGCTGACAAGGGGTGCTGTTTTTGGGAAATGGTGGTCAGAGCTCACTCACAGGCCTATCTAAGAGTTCCCCCAGCAGAAAGGGCCATTGTCAGAGACTCTGCTTGCATTATTGTTTGGAGTTTGATGCCCTGAAGGCAAGAACAGACAAACTAGGTTATTAGAAAACATGTATCAAAATGAAACAAGGGGAGGAGTAAGGATAGCTCAAAAATTCTGAGGCCTTTTATCACTTTGCACAGGGAGAGAAAGGCCAAAAGCCAGACTGGTAAAATACCCTTTTGCTGGCATGTTGGTCTTCTGGGTTCCCTTCTTCTGGGCCCAATCTTTAGCCAACCAGCTTAAGGTTTGGAAAGTTAACTCTTTCCAGTTTGGAAGATGCATCTGAGGGGAATGTCCCAGAATACGGAGACATAATTACCTATCCGTGAAGAGAGAACAGAGGAGAAGAAAGGAAAAAGAAGGCACCTTTTAAAGAAGTCCCAGGGGGTCATGATGCATTCAAAATGGGTACAGACTGAAGGTGAATGGCTACTCACCTAGGAAGAGGGTGGCAGGTGTCCCTAGTTCTCTTCTCTTTCTAGCAGATACCTGGGGTACATGAGGGAGAAAGAGCATCCTCTTTTCTTCTTCCGTCCTTGCTTCCCCGAGTGCTGGTAACCTTGGTATGTGCTGAAACAGGTGTCAAAGCAACATGCACCCATGAACCAGTGGGGCCTAGGGGGTGAGAACATTCACTCTTACCCACTTACCCACATACACCCTATCTCCCCTGCTTTCAGTAGTCTGGGAGTCCCTAGACCTCATCTATGCCATGGATACTAACAAGGCTTTTATCCATGAACCAGGGAGCTTGGGCTTCACTTAATTGGCAGGAAACAGCCACACTCACCTGCACTGTGCATTTTGTTGCACAAAGTAGGGGCTTATCCTGCCTTAGGGACTGACTCTTTTTCAGGTTTGATATCTGCATGTTTTCCTTGGCCTGGCTCTTATAAAACCCCATCCAGGAACTGGGTTTTCTCCTGCCTGTCTGCGTGTGTGTTATGTGTAATGTCTGCAGAAAGAGCTCTAAATGATTTTGGCCTGAAAAAGACAAACACTTGCATCTAATATTTTTTAAAGAGAAGTTAAAAACTGTGGTACCGTTCAGTTCACGTGACTTTAATCTTTGAGAAATAGGAAGAGGCTTAAAGATTAATGGTAAAAAGCAGATGTCATTACAGTGTAAATAGGTGGACTAAATAACGCAATGGTGTCTTTGTCCATCTCAGGGCCACGAAAATTTAGGCTGGCAGATGGTTCAACAGGTGAGTAAAGCAGGGTTTTATTGGGTGAAAAGGAAAAAAAAAGGGGAAACAGGGATCTTCCACAAGGCTGGAGACCCCTGCCAGAGTGCTTCCCACTAGCAGCTTGAATCCCAGGTTCCACATGGGATATTTGCCGGGCTCCTCCCTGTTGCAAACAGTGCAAAATTCCTGAGGTTCCACCCCAGTGCACATTCCTCCCAGTGCACAGGCTTGTTGGAGATTCTCTGGGGACCTCCTTCTCCTCTGACTAGCTCAGTGGTCAATTCTATGTTTTGTTTGCCTGGTAAATACTTCATCTCTCATTTATATTTGATTGATAATTATTTTTGTTTCAATATTTTTTGGTGGCATCCTTTTGTGTTGAGCACTTTGAAAACATCATTCCAGTCCTTCCTGGTCTGTATAGTTTCTTTTGGGAAGTCTATCTCCATAAATATTGGCGCTGTTTTATATGTTATTTGCTTTCACTTGCTGATTTCAATCTTTTTTCTTTAATGTATTTTTTTTTGTCCTTTGTGACTTTGATTATTTTGTTAATTGGGGTAGTCTTATTTGGGTTTGCATTGTGTTCTAAGATCTTTCTGTACCTGGACATTTTATGTTTCTCAAGTTTTGAAAAGTTTTTTGTTACTATTTTTTTGAATGAGCGTTCTACCCTTGCTCTTACTCACATCTCTCTTGAACACCAATAATTCTTAGACTGGGTCTTTTGAAGTAATTTTCTATATTTTGTAGGTGGCACTTGCTTTTTTATTCTCTCTTGACTTTTTAAAAATAAAATAACGAGTCTTAGAGCTCACAGATTCTTTTCTGGGCTTGGATCATTCTGTGGTTTAAGACCTCTAATGGATTTTGAATTCAGCAAATGCATTTCTTAGTTCCAAGATTTCTGATTGATTTCTTTGTATTATTTTAACCTTTTTGTTAAATTTCTCGGATAAATTTCTGAAATAACTTCCTGTGTTAACTTAGACATTACTAAGTTTTCTTAAAACTGCTATTTTGTATTCTGGGTCAGAGAGCTCAGAAATTGGATTATCTTATTAGTGTCAATCACTAGATTTTTGCATTGTCCTTTTGGAGAGGTCCTGGTTCCCTGTTCTCTGTTGTTTCTTGTGAATATATGCATGCCTTTGCATTGAAGGATTATTTGTTCCATTTTTTTCTGTCTTTTTTTAATGGAATATATTTGCTTAGAAAATCTTTACCGAAAAGTCACTGCATTCACTTTAGTTCTAGGTGACATGTTAAGCCCAGGTTTACCTCAGCTCATGTGAATGATTAGAGCTCTGCCTGTCCCAAGTGATGGGGGTTCCAAATGGATTATCCTGGAAGTGTGAGAACACTGCCTAAGGGCTTGTTCCCAGTATACCTAAAGAACTTACGTCCTACAGCATGCTGTTGCTAAGCAACTACTCTGATTTGAGGTCAATTTTTGGCTGAGTTACGGAGAAGAGTTTCCATGTCTAAGAGGTTGGTAGTCCTGCCTCTCTTTTTTGTCTCTGCCTGTCCTCAGGAATGTTTCTCCCTTCATGCACTCATAACATTTCCACTGGGTTAAGGAAAGACAGGTCTACCAGGGAACTTGATAAGATGGGGAAGCTTAGTGACCATATCAGTTTGTCTTTCTCTCATTTATATAAAAATTACTTGACATTGAGTAATTTGTAAAGTAAAGAGGCTTAATTGCCTCACATTCTGTATGCTATACAGGAAGCATAGTGGCTTCTACCTCTCAGGAGGCCTCAGGAAGCTTGCAATCATAGTGGAAGGCAAAAGGGCAGTCAACACCTCATATGGCCAGAGCAAGAGGAAGGGAGTTGTAGGAGGTGCTACACACTTTTAAACAAACAGATCTCTTGAGAATGCTGTTACAAGAACAGCACCAAAGGGATAGTGCTGAATCATTCATGAAAGATCCACCCGATGATCCAATCACCTCCCAGAAAACCCATCTCCAACACTGGTGATTACAACTGAAAATGAGATTTGGGTGGGGACACAGATCCAAATCATATTGTAAATCATGAATTGGAGATAGATATTCTGCGTTTTTGGTGCAGAGCAGAGTTGCAAGTTAGGGGCATTATTAATGTAGACATAGACATATAATTCCCCTATGTAGTGTCTACTCAGACTTTTTCTACTTTTATGACACTGGGAAATGTGTTATCCTCTTAATTAAGCTTTTGGTTGTTGTGGTGTAGATCTCAGTGCCATATGTTTGTTTTGTTTTGTTTTGCATGAAGAAAAAAAGGCTGCTTGTCTCTACTCTGCCATTTTGGAACCAGAAGTCTCTTGCTCCGTATATTCTTAATAAACGTTTCTTATCAGATATATGAATTAGAACTTTTTAAATTCTACTTATCACCAGTACACTTTTTTGATGGTGTCCTTTCAAGAACAAACATATTCATTTATAAGAATATCAGTTTATCCATTTTAACTTAGTTTTTTGTGACTTTGTTGCCTTGTCCTAGAAACCATTGCCAAATTGAAGGTAGAAAAGATTTACTTTTTCTATTCTGGGTTTTGTACTTCTGTTTGTTAACTTTGGGTTGTTGATGTATTTTAAATTAGTTCTTTATGTGTTGTCAGAGAAAGTGTATCTTGTTTTCTTTGGCCTTTGGATAATCAGTCTCCCAGAAGTATTTGTGGAAAATATTGTTGTTTTCCTATTCAATAGTTTGACGTCTTTCTCAAAAATTAAGTCACCACTGTGTAAAAGGATTTCTGGATTCTAAAATCTGTTCCATTTATTTATATGGTGATCTGTGTTCCTGTGTCACACTCTTATAACTATTGATGATATGTTGTTGGTTGAAAATAGGAAATGCAAGGACTAAACTATTTTTCAAAATATTACTGGTTATTGAGATTGTGCCACTGCACTCCAGCCTGGCCACAGAGCAAGACTCTGTCTCAAAAAAATTATACATATATATATATATATATATATATATATATATATATATATATAGTGTGTGTGTATATATATATATAGTGTGTATATATATAGTGTGTATATATATATAGTGTGTATATATATAGTGTGTATATATATAGTATATATACACACACACGTATGTGTATTTGTATGTATATATATATATATATATATATATATATATATCTCGCTATTTTTTGGTCTCCTGTATATCTATATTAATTTAGAATGAGCATGTTTATTTCTGTAAAGAACCCAGCTGGGAATTTAATATGGATTTTGGTTAATTTGTTTATTAATTAAGATTTTCAATTGAGGAATATGAGATTTTATTTATTCATTAAGAATTTTATTCCTCAATATTTAGTAACTTTTACAATTTAAGTTTTAAGTTTCGCAATTTATTTTATTTTTTGAGATGGAGTCTCATTCTGTCACCCAGGTTGGAGTATAATGGTGCCATCTCAGCTCACTACAACCTCCACCTCCCAGGTTCAAGTGATTCTCCTGCTTCAGCCTCCCAAGTAGCTGGGATTACAGGCTCATGCCACCACGCCTGGCTAATTTTTTATATCTTTAGTAGAGCTGGGGCTTCACCATGTTGGCCAGGCTGGTCTCGAACTTCTGACCTCATGGTCTGCCTGCCTCGGCCTCCAAAAGTGCTGGGACTACAGGCATGAGCCACTGCACCTGGCCTAAGTTTTGCAATTCTTTTAATGTTTTTCCTGTTTTTTAAAAATAATTTTTGATTATATTTTATGTAGGATTTTTGAACATGTTATTTTCTTCTGTATTGTTCAATTATGTAACAATACAATTAATATTTGAAGGTTGACCGTTAGTCCTAAAAATGTGCTTATTTTGTTGTTGATCTAATATTTTCTAGGAAAGTCTAAGATATTCTTTACATAAGGTCATGCCTTTTGTCAACAAAGAGAGTGTACTTATTTCTTACCTTCTAATAAGGATTATTTTTGTTTCGTGTTACTTCCTATTTGCTTTGGCTGGAATCTCCAATATAATGTTGAATAGAAGTAATAAGAATGAATGTCTAGTCTTTTCCTTATTTTAGAAAAAAATGAGTTAATCTTCATAATAGGTGTCTCCAGACAAAAAGAGCCATGTATGTATACACACACATTAGTACACACCTATGAGGGAGGATTTTATTGTAGGAATTTGCTTAGGCTGAGAAATATTATGATATACACTTACACACTTTATATTTAGGAAAGCTGATGCTGTAATTCAATCTGAGACTGAAGGCCTTAGCACTAGGAGAAATAGTTGTGTAATTATTTGTCTGAGGATGATGGCCTTAGAACTTAAGGAGCTACAAGTGGGGTTTACTAGTGCAAACCCTAGTGTCCAATGGCCCAATATCCAGAAGCCTCAAATAAAGAAGGCAGAATAATATTAATGTCCCAGCCAAAGAAAAGAGAAATATTTGTCTTCTTCTGCCTTTTGCTCTATTTGGGTTCTTAACAGATTGGATGATACCTGCCCACAATCATGAGAGATATCTTTAGTCAGTCTACTGATTTAAATACTAATCTCTTTTTAAAGTATTGTAACGTTTGTCACAGAATCATAAAAATATCTATCCTAAAATTCATACAAACCCCAAAATAGCCAAATAAATCATAAACTAAAAGAAGAAAGCCAGAGGCATCAAATTACCTAATTTCAAAGGATATTAAAAGCCTGTAGTAACTAAAACAGCATGGTAGTAATACAAAAACAGAAACATAGAGCAATGGAACAGAATAGAGAACCAAATAATAAAGCCACACACCTACTGCCACCTGATTTTTAATGAAGTCAGGAATAACAAGCAATGAAGAAATAACCCTCTATTCAATAAATGATGCTGTGGTAATTGTATAGTCATATGCAGAAGACTGAAATTTGACCTCTTCCTTTCACCACATACAGATATCAACTCAAGGTGTATTAAATACTTAAATGTAAAATCTAAGACTATATAAATATGAGAAGAAAACCTCAGAAATACCATCCTGGATACAAGCCCTGGCCAAAGTTTTATGACAATTACCCCAAAAGGAAATTGTAACAAAAAAAAATTGACAAGTGAGACCTAATTAAACTAAAGAACTTGTGCACAGAAAAACATTCAATAACATAAACAGATAACCTACAGAATAGGAGAAAACATTTCAATACTATGCATCCAACAAAGGACTAATGTTTAGAATCTAGAAGGAACTTAAACAAATTAACAAGCAAAAAAGAAAAATCCCACTAAAGAGTGGCCAAAAGAGAACAGACACTTCTCAAGAATAAGTACACATGGCCAACAAGCATATGAAAAAATACTCAACATTACTAATCATCAGAGAAATGAAAATCATAAAAACCACTATAAGATACCATCTCCCACTAGTCAGAATGAATATTATTAAAAAGCACAAAATGACAGGTGTTGGCAAGATTAGGGAGAAAAGAGGATGCTCATACACTGTTCGTGGGAATGTAAATTAGTTCAGCCACTGTAGAAAGCAGTTTGAAGATTTTTCAAATAACCTAAAACAGAATTACCATTTTACCCATCAATCCCATTACTGGGTATATACCCAAAGGACTGTAAGTTGTTCTACCAGAAAGACACATGCACACCTACGTTTATCAACAGCATCACAGTACTATTCATAATAGCAAAAACATGGAATCAATCTATATGCCCAACAATGGTGGCCTGGATAAAGAAAATATGGTACACATATAAATGATGGAATACTATGCAGCAATGAAAAAAAAAACAAAATCATGTCTCTTGAGCAACACAGATGCAGCTGGAATTCATTACCCTAGGCAAATTACCACCAGAAAGGAAAACCAAATACCACATATTCTCAGTTGTAAGTGGGAACTAAACATTGAGTACCTATGGACAAAGAGAAAGGAATAATAGGCAATGGGAAATATGTGAAAGTGTAGAATGAGAGATCTATGAGAATCAAAAAACTACCTACCAGGTACTGTATTAACTATCTTGGTGATGAAATAATTTTTACACAAAAACCCTGTGACATGAAATTTACTCATGAAGAAGTTGAATTTAGAGGAGGAAAAATGAAATGCTCTCACAGATAAATCCAGAAATAATTTTTTTTTTTTTAGCTATTTGGTAATCTCTTAAACCAGTCAAGTTGACACATAAAATTAACCATCATAGTTGTGCAATTATTTTTTGTGGCATTTATATTGTGCAATATATTTTATGGCATTTTCAGTGCAATTGTATTATTTTATATTGGATAATTAGAATTATGTAAATATATTGATTTTTATATATCAATCTTTTATCCTGACAAGGTTATTTATTTGTTTTTGATCTAATATTTTATACTAGATTTATTAAGATATTCTCTATGTAAAGTTATATCATGTACTGACATATGTAATTGTATTAACTTCTTTTTCAATATGCATGTTTCTTATTTTCTGTCATTGTCTAATTGCCTTAGCTTAAATATACAATGGAATATTGTCCTAAAATGATAAATAGATCTCTTCATCTTGTTTTTTATCTTAGGTAGTATTTCACTGATACACATAATAATAGTTTTAGACTTTTCATAGCTGTCTTTTATCAGTTTCATGACATTTAACATCATTCTGGTTTTATTGAATATTTTTATTTTTTATTATAAGTCTATTTCTATTTTCAGTTTCTGTCGATTGCATATCATACATAGTTAGTGTCTTTTGAGAGATTTGCTCATTTTATTGAGTTATATGATTTGTTGGTATGCATTTGCTCCTAGCAATGTACTGTAATATTTTGTATTTCTGTATAGTGTGTAGTAATGTGTAGTCTTTCATATCTGATTTTAATAATGGGAGTCTTCTCTTTTATGAGAGGTAAGTCTACATAAATACTCTTTGTTTTATTTAATTTTGTTAATCTTTTGAATGTACCAAATTTTGGTTTTATTTCCTTTGTTGTTTTTATTCTTTCATTTGCTTATTTTAGCAATAATCACTATTTCTTTTCTTCTGCTTTGGGGGGTTTGTTCATTTTTTCTAGTTCCTTAAAGTATAAAATTGCATATTAATTAAAAATTTTTGTCTTATTAATGTAGGCATTTTAAGGTCATAAATTGTCCTCTAAATATTGCTTTTTAATAAATTTTGGCGTATTTGTTTTTAATATTCTTAAACTTTGTTCTGTTTTCTTTTGATTTTATCTTTGTTATTTTGAATTATGTTGTTTAATGTGTAATCATTTGTGAATTTCTCAATTTTTTAAAACTGCTGATATTGAAGGTTATTCCTTTGTATTTTCAGAAAATAACACATACTATTTCAATCCTCTTAAATTTATTGAGGCTTTTCCGGTCAAGTGATGATTTGTTTTGGAAATATTAATATGCACTTGATAATATTAAATATGTAGCTGCTTTTTGGAGTGTGTTATAGATGTGTGTTAGAGCTAGAAGATTTATAGTGTTCTTCTAGTATTCTATTTCCTTGTTGATCTTTTTTAAAATTTTTGTGTACTTTTAAGAGTGAAATAGAGGGGGTGGGCCAAGATGGCTGATTAGAAGCAGCAGTGGTCCATGGCTCTCATGGAGAAGAATGAAAACAGTGAATAAATTCTGCAACTTCAACTGAGGAATTAAGATTCTCAAATTGGGACTGACTTAGCAGTTGGCACAACTCAGAGAGTGAGAAAAAGCAGAGTGGGGTGACAGCCCACCCCAGAGTGGCACAAGCCAGGGGAGTCCCAACCCCCAGCCAAAGGAGGTATCTTTACTGGTGATACCTCCAGGTGTGTGAGAGACCGAGGCTGTTGCTGTCAGTTGCTATGGGATTGGGTGAAGGGAGATGAATGGAGAAATGAAGACAAAGACAAAAAGATCTGTTTTAAAAGAAGGTGTCAGGGGCTCCTTGCTCCTAGTGAACAAAGGCTTTGGGCTTCTACAACCCTTCATATTTATTAGGTAAAAAGGGCAGGGAGGGAGAGGTAATGGTTGGTCAGCTGCTTGATTTATCACAGGTACACATAATTTCTTTCTTTGTACAACAGGCTTCAGATATTCCTACAGATAATCACAAGGAACACTGTGCTTGGGGTGTGATTGCCCTCAGCACTCCTTCTGGGGGCAGACATAGTCATCAGTTTTCCAACATCCTGCTTTCATGAGAACAGTTTTCTGTTTGCTCATATAGCCTCCAGTGGTATGCTGAGTTGGTCACAACCCTCATTCTTTTGGCCTGTAACATCTCCCTCTTTTTGTTTTTTCATTAATTGAATAAAGGTAATTGCAGGTTCTGCAGCTCTCAATTGCCATTTGGTGGTCCACCTGATTTTGAAGACTATGAAAAAAAACAGAAACATAATAACATTAATCCAATAGTAACAACAAAGACATTGAGTTGCTGTTTGCGGTAGGTCCAAGGGTTAAGGCTCTCTAAACCTTGTTGGAATTCTGCCCAAGCTTTTAAACAGGGCTGAAACACTTGAGTTTGCTTATCGAAGTTAAGGATTTTACTTTGTAAATCATTAATATCAAAAGTAACATTGGATGTGAAAGCTCCCTGTAAATGGGCCTTTACAAGGCTCCAGGAATATTCACTTTGGTTATATTCCAAATTGGTCACACAAATATGAGTATGATTAAAATGACAATGCAATTGCTGATGCAACTGCAAACTTTGTATTTGTTCTCCTAGCCAAAGAACAGTAGCCTTTAACATTGCCACCTCTGTTTATGTTTCAGCGTTAATTTTATTTTGAAGCATCCATGCCTGGCCAGGTGTGCATGTCCAATTTTCTACATATTGAGCTGTTTGAATAGAGCGATGCATTGCTACTGAGGACATCACAACAGAGGTTATCAATGTAACTAAGGAGACTATAGCAACAATTATCATGCCTAAGGCTCTACGAGCACGATGAGTAAGCTGAGTAAAAAAGAGTTTTATAAGATGTAAAATGGGGGTGGCCACCCAAGGTTCAGACAGATTTACAGGAATCCATAATCTGGGAATGCAATCTAGAATTATTAGGGTGGATATATCATGTGTCTGTATTGTGCTTTGATTAAGGCAATGATAAAGTTGACAGGAATCACAAGTCGACTGGGCATCATCCACCTGGAGTTGGTCCTTTTTTGCTACTAAGAAAACGTAAGAATTAAAGCACAAATTATAAATTGAGTGGTAATATTTTCTACCATGATCATATTAAAACTGCATTTAGCACTGTTATTATTATTGAATAATGTCCCAACTCAAATGCTGCCATTAATAAATGGGAATGCTGTTTTGCATATCGAATTCTGGATTGGACCTCTCTTTCCTTGAGAATGCCATTGAGGCAAAGGTGGGCTAAGGCCTGCGCCATGCCAAGTAATTTGCGCAGCAGATTCGGATTGAATCCCAATGTGACGTGGCAAAGAGATGTTAAAGTTTTGCCACCAGTGGCAGTGAAGTTCATGCCATGAGGTCTGATGCTCATCTCTCCCAACCAAGTGACCATGGGGACCCCAGTCAATAATGTCTCCCATCAGCATGGACTGTTGTCTAGCTAGGGAGCCAAGACACTGGGTCCAAGGAGGGGAGTTAGAATTATCAAAGGGAACCCATTCTGTATAATTAATACAATTTGGGCGATGAGACCAGGAGTGATTAGTAACTGCACCAGAAATATTAATAGAGCTGAGGCCCAATAGGCACAAATATTTTCTTTTTTTTATTATTATACTTTACGTTCTAGGGTACATTTGCATAACGTGCAGGTTTGTTAATATGTATACATGTGCCATGTTGGTGAGCTGCACCCATTAACTCGTCATTTACATTAGGTATATCTCCTAATGCTTTCCTTCCCCCCTCCCCCCACCCCATGACAGGCCCCAGTGTGTGATGTTCCCCTTCCTGTGTCCAAGTGTTCTCATTGTTCAATTCCCACCTATGAGTGAGAACATGAGGTGTCTGGTTTTTTGTCCTTGCGACAGTTTGCCGAGAATGATGGTTTCCAGCCTCATCCATGTCCTTATAAAAGACATGAACTCATCCTTTTTTATGGCTGCATAGTATTCCATGGTGTATATGTGCCACATTTTCTTAATCCAGTCTATCATTGATGGACATTTGGGGTGGTTCCAAGTCTTTGCTATCGTGAATAGTGTTGCAGTAAACATACGTGTGCATGTGAGGAAAGACAATTTTGAAACCAAAGTTTGATTTTGGAAAGCCTTTTTAGTATATTTAAAGCATTTGATATTGTAAAACAGAATTCCAAATTACTGTAAGTCATTTATTTTGCCAAAATGATGACTCAGAAACGTTAAAGAAGCAAAAACCTTTTATAACTCTTTTGAATTTAGTTAATATATTCACATAGATAACCTATTCTGCAAGATTAATTTTCAGAATTTTTCTACCACTTGTTTGAAACTTCAGCTTTTTCCTAATTTGAAAAGCCAGGTGTCAGGAAAGACAATTTTTTAAATTATACTTTAAATTCTAGGGTACATGTGCACAATGTGCAGGTTTGTTACATTTGTATACATGGCTGCGTGGCACATATATTTTCTATGGTAACTCAATCATGCCTGGGATTAAATTGCAAGGAAACTGCAGTTGAGTGATGTATCCTGGGTGATGCATAAAGGAAGTCCCTCCAATGGAGCAGTATAATTGATACCATTGTCCTGAGAGTCTAATTGCTCTGTGTCAGGGGGAGTTAAGGGTCCTGGTGCCCATACTCCTTGATCATGATATAACTCAGGAGGATTGCCAGTCCAGAGTACCGGTCATACTACTGGGAGGTTAAGAACATATGCCCAATATGTTTTTGCCTCTGCACAGGGAAAACATACTGCACAGGATATTACAGCTGACATGGCCATAAACTTGGAGTAAGGGGTTTTTGCCTCACCCTGACGCTCTAGCAGTTTCTCAGCTTTTTGTGTGGTTTTCTTGATCTGTCCCCATGTCTTTGCATTCAGATTCAACTGGCTCATGGCTCATATTGGAGGAGCTGGGCCCATGGTTGGGATCCATGGGTCCCTCCAGTCTCCCATTCCATGGTCACATACATGGTGGGGGAACCCACACAGTTTGTCCATGTCCTGTAAAAACATAAGCATACCCTCATCCCCACGTTAGTAAATCTACTGGGCCTTTCCATTGCCCTTCTTCTGGGGACTTCTATAATACCTTTAGGTAAACTTTCTTTTTTCCCTTTAACATTTGCCACTGTCATTCCGCCGGAGTCTTATTATCTGTAACAGGAGCTAAAAAATTTAAAGTAAATAAGGCTAAATGTAATTTTATTTGAGGTGGTAGCTGGTCTCCTACTCCCCCTTTTTGTTTTTTTCAACATACACTGTATGTTAGTTACATCAATTACATTAATAAATGTAATGTATGTTTGATGTGCCAGCTCTATAATGCCTTGTCCTCAGGGATTGTAAGGAATTCCTGTCTTATGAGTAATTTCCCATAACTATAAAAAAATTTGAAAAGCATGACTAACATAAGCAGGTCCATTGTCAGATTTTATTGGTTTGGGAACCCCATATGGGTGAATGACAATAAACAAAGCCGCTGTACATGGCCAGCTCTTTCTGTTTGACACATAGCATGTAACATATGAGAGTAAGTGTCTACAGTCACATGAACACAGCTAAGCTTGCCAAAGGCTGCTATATGTGTAATACCCATTTGCCAGATTTCATTTGGAGCTAAGCCTCGTGGGTTACATCCTTTTATGGGTATATCACCAGGGACATACTGGCAAGTGGGACAGGCTTGCACAATAGCTCAAGCCTGGCTACGAGGCAGATGAAACATACAAGTAAGGGTGAGGTGTTTTGATGCAATAATGTATGAAAGGCTTGAGCTTGCTGAAACACAGAGTCAATCAATTTATCTGCTTTGTCATTGCCTACAGATAGTGGTCCAGGAAGTTGTGTGTGAGAGTGAATATGAGAAATATGTAAAGGAGCAGCATAAGAATGAATAACTTGCTGAAGTCTTAGAAACAAGTTAAACAGCTCTGGTTCTAGGGTGCTTTTAATAGTGGTAGTCTCAATGTGACTGGCTACATTTACAACATAGGCTGAATCACAGACAACGTTAATAGGAGTTGAAGCAGTGAGCTGTAAAACCTCAATAACTGCCATTAATTCTGAGTGTTGAGCTGAAACTCCAGAGGTTTTTATTGTTTGAGTATGCTTAGGTCCATAAATAGCTGCTCAGCCTTTGGAAGAGCCATCAGTGAAATAAGTCTGGCCACCTGGAATAGGCTTGTGATAAGTAATCACAGGGAGGATAAAAGGGTGAACTTTACAAAATTGCAAAACTTGCCTGATGGATAGTGGTTGTCTATTATTACTACAAAATCCACAAGAGCAATTTGCCAAGCAGTCAACATTTCCCATGCTGCAGCCTGTTGTTGGAAATCCAAGGGAACAATAATTTTGTCTGGGTCATATCCTGTAAACATTTTTGATCGATGCCTATCCATAGTTATAAGTTGAGTAATTAAAGAAAGATAAACTTGTAAAGATTTTACTGTTTGATTGGATAGAAAAAGCCATTCTATTACCGTTACAAACTTGTCTATAAATGGGCCCAAAAGTCCTATTGGAGAGTAGGGGGTTGGAAGAATAAACAGAAACAAAGGCTTTTGTGGCTGTAGCCAGGAGGCATGTCTTCACTGAAGCATTTGTTCTACAAGCTGTAATTCAGCTTCTGCCTCCTTAGTAAGTTGCCAAGGAGAGTCTAATGAAGAATCTCCTTGGAGGGTCTGATAAAGGTGTTTGAGTCGATAAGTAGCAATACCTATCATCAGGTGCAGCCAATTAATATCCCCTAACAATTGTTGGAAATCTTTCAGTGTTTGTAATCTGTCCCTACGGAGAGTTACTTTCTGAAGTCGAACACTTCTTTCAGTAACAATAGTGCTTAAGTACCGATGTGGGGAGGTTGTTTGCACCTTTTCTGGAGCTATTTTGAGATTCCATTTAATCAAAGCCTGTTTTGTTTCTCTGAATAACTGATGTAAAATTTGATCTGTAGGAGTGGCCAAAAGAATATCCTCCATATAATGAACGATGTAAGCAGTAGGAAACATATTCCGAGGCTCCTTTAATGCCTGTCCTACAAAATGCTGACATAGCACAGGACTGTTAAGCATGCCTTGTGGTAAAACTTTCCATTGATAATGAGAACCAGGTTGTCTTTGATGGATAGAAAGCACAGAGAAGGCAAATCGAGGCTCATCCTTCTCGTGGAAGGGTATAGTAAAGAAATAATCTTTAAGATCTATTACTAAGAGAGGCCAGTCCATTAAAATGGCTGCCGCGGATGCCAGACCTTGCTGTAATGTGCCCATTGGTTTAATTTGTGCATTAATGACTCTTTTGGAATTGCAAATACTGGTGAATTCCAGGGACTAACTGACTCTTCGATATGTTCTGCATCCAATTGCTCTTTTACTAGCTGATAGAGTTGAGTTAGTTTCTCCTGTGATAGGGGCCATTGATTCATAGAGGCATGGGTGGGACAACAGATTCTTTTAAATTTTTAGACTCAGAACATGACTCCTGCTGTCCAGCAGAATAAGGAGATAATGGCAGACAGACAGTAAGAAACAAACTCCAAGTGGAGAAATCAGAAAGGTCAACTTTAAGACCTTTTTGATGAGCTCGTTTTAATCCTTCTCCTATTCTGTTCCAAATTTCCACATCGAGAGTGCCCATCTGTGGAAACCATGGGTTATGTACAGTGACCTTCTTCAGCATCTTAGTTAATGTTTGAGAACTAACCTGAGCACCAGATTGTTTAAGTAAAACTTTAAGCAACTGCACATAATATTGCTCCTGAATAGATAGATTCTGCCCCATGTTACCCTGATTCAGAAAACTTCCCATTCCCAGTACCTCTTTAGGGCACTAACCTTATATTAGCTGCCAGCAGACTTGTCCCAAGGTTTCTTGCTCATCTGGTCAGTTTCACTTTCTCTGCTCCAGCAGACCTTCTTTGCTCATGTCCCTGTCCTGGGCACCACTTGTCACTGCCAGTTGCTACAGGATTGAATGAAGGGGGATGAATAGAGAAATGAAGACAGAGACAGAAAGATCTGTTTTAAAAGAAGGTGACAGGGGGCTCCTTGTTTCTAGTGAACAAGGGATCTAAGCTTCTACAGCCCTTCGTATTTATAAGGTAGAAATAGGAGGGAGGGAGAGGTAATGGTTGGTCAGCTGCTTGATTTATCACAGGTACACTTAATTGCTTTCTTTGTACAACAGGCTTCAGATACTTCTATAGGTAATCACAAGGAACACTGTGCTTGGGGTGTGACTGCCCTCAGCACTCTTTCTGGGGGCAGACACAGTCATCAGTTTTCCAAATCCTGCTTTCATGAGAACAGTTTTCTGTTTGCTCCAGTGGTATACTGAGTTGGTCAGGACCCTCATTCTTTCAGCCTGTAACAGAGGGTATTAGAGTCTGGATTGAACCGTAGCAAACAGCAGTAGCCCTATAGAAGGAGGGCTTGACTGTTAAAAGAAAAACAAACAAATAGAAAGCTACAGCAACAACATGAACAAAAAAAAAAAAAACGCCCATAAAAAACCCGTTCAAAGGTCAGCAACCTCAACAAAGTTGAGAAAGAATCAATGCAAAAACGTTGAAAATTTAAAAAGCCAGAGTGCTTCTTCTTGAAATGATTGAAACAACTCTCCAGCAAGGGCACCTAACTTAGCCAAGTCTGAGATGGCTGAATTTACAAAAGTCAGCTTCAGAAGGTTGGTAATAACAAACTACACTGAGCTAAAGGAGCATGTTATAAAACAAGACAAAGAAGCTGAGAATCATAATAAAACAATACAGGGCTGGACACAGTGGCTAACACCTGCAATCCAAGCACCTTGGGAGGCTGAGGCAGCCAGATCCTGAGGTCAGGAGATTGAGATGATCCTGGCCAACATGGTGAAAGGCTGTCTCTACTAAAACACAAAAAATTAACCAGGTGTGGTGGTGCACACCTGTAGTCTCAGCTACTCAGAAGGCTGAAGCAGGGGAATCACTTGAACCCATGAGGTGGACATTGCAGTGAGCTGAGATCATGCCACTACACTCCAGCCTGGTGACAGAGCAAGACTCCATCTCAAGAAAAATTTACAGGAGCTCAAACCCAGAATTGCTCATTTAAAGAGGAACATAAATGACCCGATGAAGCTGAGAAACACAACATGAGAACTTCACGACACAATAACAAGTATTGATAGCCAAATAAACCAAGCAGAGGAACGAATCTCAGAGTGTGCAGACTATTTTTCTGAAATAAGACAGGCAGACAAAAATAGAGGAGAAAAGAATGAAAAGGAATCAACAAAACCTCTGAGAACTATGGCTCTATATAAAAATACCTATGATTGATTGGGGTACCTGAAAGAGATAGGGATAGTGGAACCAAGTTTGAAAGCATACTTTGAGATATAATCCAGGAGAATGTCCCCAACTTAGCAATACAGGGCAACATTTGAATTCAGAATATCCAGAGAACCCCAGCAGGATGCTCCATGAGAAAATCAACCTCAAGACACATAATCATCAGATTCTCCAAGGTCACAATGAAAGAAAAGTGTTAAGAGCAGCCAGAGAGAAAGGCCAGGTCACCTACAAAGGAAAGCCCATCAGACTAACAACCTGTCATTGGAAACCCTACAAACCACAAGATATTTGGGACCAATATTCAACATTCTTAAAGAAAAGATTTTGTAACCCAGAATTTCATAACCAGACACACTAAGCTGTATAAGTGAAAGGGAAATCATATTCCTTTCAGACAAGCAAATGCTGAGGAAATTCATCACCACCAAGCTTGCCTTTCAAGAACTCCTGAGGGAACTACTAACTATTGAAAGGAAATACCGTTACCAGTGACTACAAAAACCACACCAAGGTACACAGACTAGTAACACTATAAAACAACCATGTAAACAAGTCTGCAAAATAGCCATCATGATGACAGGATGAAATTGACACAATATTAACCATAAATGTAAATGGACTTAACGCCTCAATTAAAAACACAGAATGGCAAGCTGGATAAAGAGTCAAGCTCCATCAGTATGTTGTCTTCAAGAGACCTATTTCACATGAAAAGACACACATAGACTCAAAATAAAGGGATGGAGGAAAATTTACCAAGCAGAGGAAAACAGAAAAAAAGCAGTAGTTACAATTTTTGTTCCTGACAAAACAGATTTTAAACCAACAAATATTAAAAAAAAGACATTACATGATGATGAGTTTTCAATTCAACAAAAAAGCTAATTATTCTAAATATATGTGTACCCAATAAAGAAGCATCCAGATTCATAAAGCCAGTTCTTAGAGACCTCCAAAATGACTTAGACTCCCACACAATAATAGTGGAAGATTTTAACACTCCACTGACAATATTAGACAGATCATTGAGACAGAAAATTAACAAAGATTTTCAGGACCTGAACTCAGCTCTGGATCAAGTAGACCTAATAGATATCTAGAGAACTCTCCAACTGAAAACAACAGAATATACATTCTTCTCATGGCTGCACGGCACTTAGTCTAAAATTGATCACATTATTGGAAATAAAACACTCCTCATCAAATGCAAAAGAACTGAAATCATAACAAACAGTCTCCCAGACCACAATGCAAATAAATTATAACTCAACATTAAGAAACTCAATCAAAATCACAAGACTATGTGGAACTTGTACAACATGCTCCTGAATGACTCCTGGGTAAATAATAAAATTAGGGCAGAAATTAGGAAGTTCTCTGAAACTAATGAGAACAACGAGACAACATACCAGAATCTCTCAGATGCAGCTTAAGCAGTGGTAAGAGGAAAAGTTAGAGCACTAAATGCCCCATATCAAAAAGCTACAAATATCTCAAGTCAATGACCTAACATCACAAGTAAAAGAACTAGAGGACCAAGAGGAAAACTTCCCAAAGCTAGCAGAAGACAAGAAATAACCAAGATCAGAGCAGAACTGAATGAGATAGAGACACACAAAATCCTTCAAAAAACTCAAGGGATTCAGGAGCTGTATTTTTTTTTTTTGAATAAAAGTTAACAAAATAGACCGCATCTGCACTAATAAAGAAGAAAACTTAAAAGAATTAAATAGACACAGTCAGAAATGATAAGGGGGATATCACCACTGACCCCACAAATATACAAACAACCATCAGAGAATACTTTAAAAATCTTTAGCACATAAGCTAGAAAATCTAGAAGAAATGGATACATTCCTGGATGCACACACCCTCCCAAGTCTGAACCAGGAAAACATTAAATCCCTGAATAAACCAATAATAAGTTCAAAAATTGAGGCAGTAATAAATAGCCTACCACCACCAACAACAACAAAAATCCCAGGATCAGATAGATTTACAGCTGAATTCTAACAGAGATACTATTTCTTCTGAAACTATTCCAAATGATCGTAAAGGAGGGACTCCAACATCAACAACAACAACAACGACAAAACTTCAGGCCAATATCCCTGATGAATATCAAAGCAAAAATCCTCTAAAATACTGACAAACCAAATCCAGCAACACATCAATAAGTTTATCTATCACAATCAAGATGACTTCATCCTCAGAATACAAGTTTGGTTCAATGTACAAAAATCAATAAATGTTATTCATCACATAAACAGATCTAAAGACAAAAAACACATGATTATCTCAATAGATGCAGAAAAGGCCTTTCATAAAATTCAGCATTTCTTCACATTAAAAACTCTAAATTAACTAGGCATTAAAGGAACATACCTCAAAATAATAAGAGCCATTTATGATAAATACACAACCAATATCATACTGAATGGGCAAAAGCTGGAAGCATTTCCCTTGAAAAACAGCCCAAGACCACAGTGCCATCTCTCACCACTCCTATTCAACATTTTATTGAAAGTTTTGGTCAGGTCAATCAGTTGTGAGAAATAAATAAAAGTTATTCAATCAGAAGAGTGGAAGTAAAATTATCTTTGTTTGCAGATAACATGATTCTTTATCTAGAAATCCCATTGTTTCAGTCCAAAAGCTTCTTAAACTGAGAAGCAACTTCATTATTCTCAGAATACAAAATCAATGTTCAAAAATTGGTAGCTTTCCTGTACACCAACAACAGGCAAGCAAAGAGCCAAATAGTAAATAAACTTCCATTCACAATAGCTACCATGAAAATAAAATATCTAAGAATTCTACTAGCAAGGGAAGTGAAGGACTTCTTCAAGAACTACAAACCACTGCTCAAGGAAATCACAGAGAACACCAACAAATGGAAAAACATTCCTTGATCATGGGTAGGAAGAATCAATATCATAAAAATGGCCACACTGCCCAAAGTAATTTATAGATTCAATGCTGTTCTCATTGAACTACCATTGACATTCTTTACAGAATTAGAAAAAAAAAAACTATTTTAAAATGTATAAGGAACTAAAAAGTCAGTAGAGCCAAGACAATCCTAAGCAAATAGAATAAAGCTGGAGGTATCATGCTACCTGACTTCAAACTATACTACAAAGCTATAGTAACCAAAACAGCATAATACTTGTACAAAAACAGACAGGTAGTCCAATGGAGTAGAACAGAGACCTCAGAAATTACACCACACATCTACAACCATCTGATCTTTGACAAACCTTGTAAAAACAATCAGAAAAGGGTTTACTATTTAATACATAGCACTGGGAGAACTGGCTAGTTGTATGCAGAAAATTAAAACTAGACCACTTCCTAATACTTTATATGAAAACTAACTCAAGGTGGATTAAAGAATTAAATGTAATGTAACAACAAAAACTTTAAAAACCCTAAAAGAAAATCTAGGTAATACCATTCAAGGCTTAGGAACAAGCAAAGATTTTATGATGAAAACACCAAAAGCAATTACAACAAAAGAAAAATGGGCAAATGGGATCTAATTAAAGGTCTCCTGCACAGCAAAATAAACTATCATCAGAGTGAACAGACAACATATAGAAGGAGAGAATATTTTTCCCAGTTATGCATCTGACAAAGTACAATTTCAGTTACTTTGCTTTATTTGAAAATATTTTCCCTAAATCAAAATCTTATCCCTTCCTGAATATTTGCAACATTCCTTATATTTCTCACTTTTAGAAAGTATTTATCTTCTAAGTGCCTACTCCTGAACTTGTTTTGCAGATTGCCTTGTAATTCAGGCAAGTTGTATTTTGAAAAAAATCTCACCAGAAATTTCCATCAAAGTAGAATTAAGAAGGAAAAGATGCATGTGACAAAATAGACAAACATGTTTTTATTCTATTAATGGTCTGTTAACCTGCAATGAGGTAAATCTTTCTTAAAAGGATATTCAAACCCAGTTTCTGAGAAAATATTGCCTGCAGAGTGTCAATATTGTTCAATGTTTTTATTGTCCTTGAGTGCATGCATTACGTGTCACCGAGATTCCCCTTTTGGGTATATAGAAATTACTTTCCAGCTGATGAAGTGATGAACAACTGACATACCTCACCTATAAGCTCTCTCTCTCAGTACAACCCTGCTGAAAGCTATCTAGCATATAGTGACCTTTCCAAGACAGCCCATATCCAATGCCTGGTCACATGTAGGACTCTAAAGGCCCATTCTCCCCTTTTCAGTTTGGACCAACTCTGAAGGCCTAACAGCTTCAGAGCTCCCAGTGGGTGAGACAAAACCTATGCTGAGACTGCATGTCTTAGCATGCTCAGGGTGCTATATAGAAAAATACCATACATTGGCTAGCTTACAGACAACAAACATTTATTTGTCACAGTTCTTGAGGCTGAAAGATTCACCATCAAGATGCTGGTATTGGGCATTCCTCCAAGATGGCAACTCGTCACCATGTCTTAATGGGGGAAAGAGATGAATGAGTTATTGTGAGCATATTTTTCAAAAGAATTAATTCCATTAATGAGGACTCTGCCTTCATGACCTAAACACCTCCTAAATGGTTCTATCAGCTAATACAGTAATTTTGGTTATTAGAATTATAACTTATGAATTTTGGGGGCATTCAGACATTCAGACCATTGCACTGAATTATGTCCTAATTTGTTCCACTGTCCAATCCTGCTTCCTACTTTTTCACAGATGTTATTTCCAGGAAAACTCCCTAATTATCTCCCTCAAAAAATATTCAGCTTAGAATCTACTTCTTCAAGGCACTGAGCATTTGATAATATGTACCAAGAGAGGTCAGAAAAAAAGAACAGACAAGAAAATGAGATTGTAGAGTTGGATTATTCACTACCAAGTGTAATGAGAACCCTATCACTATTGGTACAGAGAACACAAATAGCCCCTGGAATGTGACAATTTAAATTTTTCATACATTCAGTAATGGTAAATTATGATGGAAATCTTTTGAGGGGAAAACATTAGTTATTAGGATATATCACATATTTATCAATATGGGAACAGTAGAAATTATGATCACAATACAGGCAAATGTTTTTTTCCACAGAGTTAAGGCTTGGGAGAAAATAATAGAAGAGTGAGGACTAATAACCATCAAATTAAGGCAAACGGTGAAAGCCAGAAATGTCTCCTTGGAAGTGTTACTGGAAAAAGGGGTCTTGATACAGACATGAAGTGAAGGTTCTTGGATTCCACACAGGAAGGAATTCAAGGTGAGTCACAGAGTACAGTGAGAAAAGATAGTTTATTAAAAGCTATGACATTACACAGTAGGGCATCCTCAGAAGGCAAGGAGTTGAATGCAACACCTTTGTTTTAAGTTTTTCTTATATAGAAGTCTTGTATCTGTAAAGATTAATTAAGCTGTATCTAGTCGTGGGTGGTCAGACAACAGGACAAAATTGATTATTCTATTTATTCCAAGAAAACTATCCTTGACACTTTCCTGTGTGAAAATATCAAAACATGACTGTTATTATCTTGAAAGCATATATCGTTATGAATATTGGGACATCTGGACTCTTCATTGCAGGTGTGTGTGTTTATAGGGAGCTGAACTTAAAATCACATTACTCTGACTCTCCTACACTCCTGATTCCCTAACTGCAGCATATACAGACTCTCACTTCATGCAGAAGCACCTGGTCCCCATCACCAAATGAATCTGAATCTTAAGTCCAGGACTGAATTTTAAAAATAAGACCAGTTCAGTTCTAGCTGAATTCCCAGCCTAGTCTGATCACTAACCAGGTTTAGGGTCTCAGTTTCGATACAGTGAAATTATAAGACATTTGAGAAATAATTCATTGTAGTTAAAATCTTCAGTATCTACACTCCCCTGAACTCTGAATCTGCAAAAGTAGTCCATTCCTTTCTGTTAAGGGATAGCATTTTTTCATTGTTTGAAGATGATATAGTGTCCTCTTCCTTGCAGGACAGTTTATGTCCCACCTATGATTTGTGCTTGGTATGATTTCAATTATTTTAAGTCATTCAGGCTTGCTTCATGACAAAGTTTGTTGTTGATCTTACAATATGTTCCATGTAAAAATGAGTGGAATGTATATTACGTGGTTGTAGGGTGGAGTGTTCTGTAGAGCTTTAGGTCCAATTGGTCAAGCATCAAGTTTAAGTCCAGAGTTTCTTTGTTAGGTTTTTGCCTCAATAATCTATCTAATGCTGTCAATGTGGTGTCAACTCCTGCCACTATTACTGTATGATTGGGTAAGTCTTTTCATAGGCCAAGAAGTACTTGTTTTATAAATCTGTCTGCACCAATGTTGGATGAGAACATATTTTGGACAATAAAAACTGCTTGTTGGATTGTATCTTTTATTATTAGGTAAGGCCATTCATTGTCCTTTTAAATTTTTATTCACTTAAAGTCTGTTTTATATAAGAATAGTAACTCCTTCTCTTTTTCATTTTCTGTTTGCAGGATAGTTTTTACTGTACCCTTTCATTTCGAACCTATGGTATAATTACAGGTAAGATGGGTCTATTGAATACAACATACTCTTGTGTCTGGCATATCAGACACTCTATGTCTTTTAAGTGGTACGTTTAGCCTGTGTACATTCAGTGAGAGTCTCTGTATATGCTGCAAGGATAGTATTAATATTTGTGATTTTGATCCTTTCATGGTGTGTTTAGCTGGTTATTATACAGACATGACTGCGTAGTTTCTTTATAGTGCCTGTGGACTATGTGTTTAAGTGTGCTTTTGTGGTAGAAGGGGTAATTCTTTTGAATCTATAAGTAGCATGCCCTTAAAGACTTCTTACACTGCCGATCTACTAGAAATATATTCTGTCGGCATTTGCTTGCCAGAGAAGAATTTTTTTTTCTCTTTCCGTTAGTAAGTTTAGTTCAGGAGGATATAAAATTGTTGGTTGGAATTCCTTTTCTTTAAGGACACTGAAAACAGGCCCCAAGTCTCTTCTGGATTATAAACTTCCTTGAGAGGTCTGCTGCTAGCTTGATGGGATTAACTCTGTAGGTGACCTGCTCCTTCTTGAAGACTGGTTCTTCAAATCAACCAGTCATACAAAAATAAAGAAAAAAAAATTAAGAAAAATAAAGAAAACCTCTGAGAAAATACAATTATCTAAAAAGACCAAATCTCTGACTCATTGTCTTTCCTGAGAGAGAAGTAGAGAGAATTAGCAACTTGGAGAATATATTTGAGGATATAGTCAGGTCTACTGGGGCTCACTTGGGGAGAAGTCTGGTAGGACAACAGGCCACACCTTCACTGAAACAACCCTGTGGAGGAACCTACACAAGCCCGTGCATTTGTGTGCCCCAGCTCTCCAAGACTGCAGAGAGTGTAGTCTCCTTCCTTGTTCAAGTGATGAGCATAGCCACCAGCAGTGCACTTCTAAGCTGCAGGCTACAGCCCTGGGGCACTGGGACCCTGTTTGTAGCTCACTGCTGTGGTCACTTGGGGTTGGATTTTGGGTGCAGTGTAAAACCTGAAGGGCTTCCAAAGTGCCAGAATGCATTCAGATGGAGCAAAGCACTCAAACTGGCAAACAGACGCTGTACTGTGTACAAGCTTCTATGGGGCAGCCAGAGAGGGGCCATGGGGTTGAGGGTTCTGGTGGGCCGGTATTCCTGCAGAACATATGTGTCACAGTTCCATTTGAAAGTAGGTCCTCCTGTCTCCCCATTGGTTAGCTAAGGCCAGAACCTATTAGAAATAGATGTGCATGGTATGTGGGCACTTATGGTTGGGCTCCACCAGAGGTGACCTATGCACAAAAGTCCCTGGCTTTTTGTCTGCAGCTTCATCTCTGTGTAATCTCTGGGAGACCCCTCTGCCAGTCCACATGTCCCTGAAGGTATGGAGCCCCATCTAGCCAGGATTCCAGATGTCTACAGTGAGAGGGAGCTATCTACTAGTCCTTTCACTCAGGTCTTCCCTAGAAACTGTTCAGGGCAGAGAATCAGCTGTATTAAGGCACCCCATTCAGTGTTCTCAGCCTTCTTCTGCTTCAGCCTCAGTGACTATTCCTTTTCTCCATCCACATTCAGCATTTTCTCTCCAAAGATCTGTTCAAATTATGATGGTATGATAAAAAACCTGGTGTTCCCCTGGTGGCAGTTGCACATCCTGACTGCATCTAGTTGACCATCTTGAACACATCCCTGTGTATATATTCTTTTGAGAATTCTCTCTTGATGTCCCTTGCCCATTTTTTAATGGAGTTGCTTGTGTATGGTTTGTCAATTTGTTTAAGTTCCTTACAGATTTTTGATATTAGACCTTTATCAGATGAGTAGCTTGCAATTATATTCTCCCATTCTGTAAGTCATCTGTTTATTCTGTTGATACTTACTTTTGTTGCACGGAAGCTCTTTAGTTCAATTATGTTCTATTCTCTTGATTTTATTCTAGGATTTTATACTTTTAGGATACTGTACTAGCCTGTTGTAATGCTGTTAATAAAGACATACCTGAGACTGGATAATTTATAAAGGAAAGAGGTTTAATAGATTCACAGTTACACATGGCTGGGGTGGCCTCACAATCATGATGAAAGGCAAATGAGAAGTAAAGTCATGTATTACATGGAAGCAGGCAAGGGAGCCTGTGTAGGGAAACTCTCCTTTATAAAACTGTAAGATCTCAAGAGACTTATTCACCGTCATGAGAATAGCATGGGAAAGATGTGCTACCATGATTCAATTACCACTCACCAAGTTCTTCCCACAACATTTGGGAATTATGGGAGCTACAATTCAAGATGAAATTTGGGTGAGGACACAGCCAAGTCATATCATTCTTCCCTTGGCCCCTTCCAAATATCAGGTCCTCACATTTCAAAACAAATCATGCACTCCCATCAGTTCCCCAAAGTCTTAGTTGATTTGAGCATTAACTCAAAAGTCCACAGTCCAAAGTCTCATCTGACATAAGGCAAGTATTTTCTGCCTATGAGTTTAAAAATCAAAAGCAAGTTAGTTACTTTCTAGATACAATGAGGATACAGGCATTGGGTAAATAACACTCCTAAATGGCAGAAACTGGCCGAAACATAGGGGCTACAGGTCCCATGCAAGTCCGAAATCCAGGTAAGGCAGTAAAATCCAAGGGGCAGTCACCTCCAAAATGATATTCTCTGACTCCATGTCTCACATACAGGTCACACTGATGTAAGAGGTAGGCTCCCATGGCCTTGGGCAGCTCAACCCCTGTGGCTTTGCAGGGTACAGCCCTCCTCTTGGGTGCTTTCATGGGCTGGCATTGAGTGTCTGTGGCTTTTCCAGTTGGGTGGTCCAAACAGTTCGTGGATATATCATTCTAGGGTCTGGAGGATGGTGGCCATCTTCTCCCAGCTCCACTAGGCAGTGCTCTGGTGGGGACTCTGTTTGTGTGTGTGTTGGGGTTGGGGGCTGCAGGGGGTTGCTCACACCACACATTTTCCTTTCATACTGCCCTAGCAGAGTTTCTCTGTGATGGTCTCGTCCCTACTGCAAACTTCTACCTGAACATCCAGGCATTTCCATACATCTTCTGAAATCTAGACAGAGGTTCCCAAGCCTCAATTATTGATTTCTGTGTACCCACAGGCTCAATCCCACATCAAAGCTGATAATCTGCCAAGGCTTGGGGGTTGCCCCACTGAAACCATGGCTTGAGGTCTACCTTGGCCCCTTTTAGCAACAGCTGGGACACAGGGGACCGAGTTCTGAGACTGCACAAAGCAGCAAGGTGCTGGGCCTGGACTACAAAACTATTTTTTCCTTCTAGGCCTCCTAGCCTGTAATGGGAAAGGCTGCAGCCAGGAACACCTCTGACATGCCATAGAGACATCTTCTCCATTGTCTTGGTTATTGACAATTGGTTTCTAATTACTTACGAAAGTTTCTGCAGCTTGAATTTCTCCTCAGAAAATGGGGTTTTCCTTTTATATCATATCACCAAGCTATGAATTTTCCAAACTTTTATGCTCTGCCTCCCTTTTCAACATAAGTTCCAGTTCCAAACCTTATCTTTGTGAATATGTAAAACGGAATGCTTTTGTCTGTACCCAAGTCACCTCTTGAATACTTTGCTGCTTAGAAATTTCTTCCACCAGATGACCTAAATCATCTCTCTCATGTTAAAAGTTTCACAAATCTCTAGGGCAGGAGGAAAATGCCACCAATCTTTGCTAAAACATAACACAGTCACCTTTGCCCCAGTTACCAACAAGTTCGTTATTTCCATCTGAGACCACCTCCGCCTGGACTTTATTGTCCATATCACTATCAGCATTTTGGTGAAAGCACTCAACAAGTCTCTAGAAAGTTTCAAACTTTCACACATATTTCTGTTTTTTCTTCTGAGTCCTCTAAACTGTTCCAACCTCTGCCTGTTACCTAGTTCCAAAGTTGCTTCCACATTTTCTGATATCTTTACAGCAGTACCCCACTACCTAGTATCAATTTACTGTATTAGTCTATTCTTATGCTGTTAATAAAGACATACCCAAGGCTAGTTAATTTATAAAGGAAAGAGGTTTAATGGGCTCAGAGTTTCACATAACCAAGGAGACCTCACAATTATGGCGGAAGGTGAATGAGGAGCAAAGTCACATCTTACATGGCAGCAGGTAAGAGAGGTTCTGTAGGGAAACTCCCCTTTATAGAACAATTAGATCTCATGAGACTTATTTACTATCACCAGAACAACATGTAAAAGACCCACCACTATGATTAAATTACCTCCCACTGGATCCCTCCCACAACACATGTAAATTATAGGTGCTACAATTCAAGATGAGATTTGGGTGGGGACACAGCCAAAGCATATCAGTTAAACATTTACATCTTTAACCCATCTTCAGTTGGTTTTTGCGTATGGTAAAAAGAAGATATCTAGATTCAGTCTTCTGCATATGGCCAGCCAGTTATTTCAGCACCTTTTGTTGAATAGTGAGTTGTTTCTCCATTGCTTGTTCTTATTGACTTTGTTTAAATCAGATGACTGTAGGTGTATTGCTTTACGTCTGAGTTCTTTAACTGGTTCCATTGGTCTATGTGTCTATTTTTGTACCAGAACCATGCTGTTTCAGTTACTGTAGCCTTGTATTATAGTTTGAAGTTGGGTATTGTAAGCCTCTGGTTTTGTTGTTTGTTCTTAGAACTGTTTTAACTTTTGGGCTACTTTGGTTTCACAGGAATTTTAGAAAATTTTTTTTCTAATTTCATTGAAAATGTTCATGGTAGTTTGATAGAAATAGCACTGAATCAGTAAAGTACTTTGGGCAGTATGGTCTTTTTAACAATATTAATTTTTCTATAATTGAGCATGAAACATATTTCTTTTTGTTGGTATTGTTTCTAATTTTGTCAACAGCATTTTGTAATGTTTGGGTAGAGATTTCTCACTTCCCTGGTTAGCTGTATTTCTAGGTATCTTATCTGTGGCTGTTGTAAATGGTAGTGCATTCTTGATTTGGCTGTCAGATTGGATGTTGTTGGTATAAAAAAATGTTACTGATATTTGTACACACATTTTATCTCCCAAAACTTTGCTGAAGTTGTTTTTCAGAAGTGGGAGCTTTTGGACAGGGGCTTTAGGGTTTTCACTGTATAAAATGATAACTCTGTGAAGAGAGATAGTTTGTCTTTCTCTCTTTCTATTTGGATGCCTTTTATTTTTCTCTTTTACTCTGGCTAGGACTTCCAATACTATACTGAATAGCAATAGTTAGAGTGGCCATCACTGCCTTTTTCCAGTTCTCAAGAGGAATCCTTTGAGCTTTTGCTCATTCAGTATGATGTTGACTGTGGGTTTTCACAGATGGCTCACACTATTTTTGAGTATTTTTATTTAACTCATAATTTGTTCAGGGATTTTTAGAATGAAATTGAGATCAAACAATCATTAAAAAACATCAACAAAACTGAAAGTTTGTTATCTGAAAGAGTAAATAAGATGGATAAATCACTAGATAGACTAAAAAAGAATAAAAAAGGGATGATCCAAATAAACACAATCAGAAATGACAAAGAGAAGATCATCATTGACCCCAGGAAAAACAAACTACCTGCAAAGATCATTATGAATATCTCTGTGCACACAAACTTAAAAACCTAGAAGAAGCAGATATATTTCTGGACACTTACATCATCTCAAAGTTGTACCAGGTAGAAATAGAAATCCTGAAGTGACCCAAAATGTGTTCCAAAATTGAATCAGTAATATAAAGTCCAGCAAACATAAAAGGCCTGAATCAGAGAGATTCACAGCCAAATTCTTTTATACATATAAAAAGAAATACTAGCCATCCTACTGAAGCTATTTCAAAAAATTGGAGAGGAGGGCCTCCTACTTAACTCATTCTATGAGGCCAAGATTGCTCTGATACCAAAACCTGGCAGAGACACAGGAAGATAAGAAAATATCATGCCAATATCCATCATGAACATGGACACAAAAATCCTCAACAAAGTACTGACTAATAGAATTCAGCAGCACATCAAAACCTAACCACCACAATCAAGTAGGCATTAATCCTAGGATGCAAGATTGGTTAAACATATGCAAATAAATAAATGTGATTCTCCACATACATAAGACTAAAAAGAAATACACCACGATCATTTCAATAGATGCAGCAAAGGCTTTCAAAAAATTCAACATCACTTTCCTTTTTTATTTTGAAGCACTCTCAAAGGAAACAATTTAATACTTCTGCTCAAACTTCAGGAGATAGTGGTAACAGACTACTACTAAGATATCTCCATAATCTTGGGAAAGACTGTGGCTACTACAAAATGAAGCTTGTGTGCTGGAACTCCCTTGACAGTGAATGAAAGAGGGAATCAGAAGGCTTATGACAGTGGATACATTAACATAGACATCCTATACCGTGTTGGAAATCTATCGAATGTTTGCTGAAGTTATAATGAATGTTCAATATGTCTACCCTCTGAGGGCTAGGTCCTTTTGGACTTACCAAACCAATCTCACTGATATGATTTATGATCAGATATTGAAATAATAGAGACCTTCAGAAGGCAGATGGTCAAAATAAACAAGAGCACTAAGACTGGGGTGTTATCCAGAAAGACCTAATTTATGAAAGCTGTGTATATAGTAACAGAGAAGATAGCACTAGGGGCAAAATAGATAGGTGAGCAAGGGAATTTCTCAATCTATAATACCAGAAGAGTTCAAGAATGGATACTAAAAAGTTGAGGGCAGCTGTCCTCACTAGAAATCACAGTAAATTGTCAAGGGTCTGGACCTAAGTGTGTTTTCAGACCTGAAATTTATTGACTGAAGAAGACACCAGTGGCTCCAGGGGAAAAAAAAACAGTAAACTGTAAAACCAAGGAAACTTACATGCTACTGATTCCATAATTTTTTTTTTTCCTGAAATGGAGAGTGGCATCCCTAGGATAACTGATGATTTCCTCAGCCTCCAAAATGCATAATTTTTTAGATCCACTTTGTCTTTAGAAAACCGTGAAATTGTATCATTGGTGTCTGGATACAAGTCATTTTAGTGGAAAAAGCCAAGTGGATTCTCTTTGCATTAGTTTCCTGGCTTCTTAAAACAGAAGTTATTCTCTGTTATTCTTATCTCTCTAAGCCAGAAGGTCAAAATCTGTGTTCTCAGGGTTCATTTGTTCTGGAGGCTCTAGGAGGGAAACAACCAATGCCTGTCTCTTGGCCTTTATTGGTTACCGACAATTCTTGGAATCCCGTGGCTTGTGACTTCTCTCCAACTTCTGTTTCCTCAGCATCATCTTTTCTTTTCTTTCTTACTAGTTTTATCCTGCCTTTATTCTTTTCAAAAGAAACTGTGTCTTGCTATATTGACTTGGCTGATCTTGAACTCCTGGCCTCAAGGGATCCTCCTGCCTTTCTCCTTATAAGAATATCTGTCATTGGATTTAAAGCACATCGTAAATCCAGAATAAACTTGTCTTGATTTTCTTACTTTACTTACATCTGCAAAGATCTTTTCTCCATTAAATTCACTTTAATAGATTCTGGAGGTTACTCACTGCACACATTTTTGGCAAAGACATCTATTCAATTCACTATATGCATGCAACTTCTTCATTCCTCCATTACCACAGATGTCAGGTGACCAAGAAAATGGAAAATAATATTGCATTACATGCCTGGGGATTGTGAAAATTAAAGACCTTAAAGGTTTAAAGGATGCAGGATGATGGGCTCCATTACATCTTTGATTAAAAGTCTGACCACTGCAAAATCCAACAGATCCTAGAGTCTGGTAGTGGACTCCTGCAATTTCCACCAAGTAGTTGCTCCACTGGCATCCCCTGTTCCAGATGGAGTACCTTTGCTAGACCACATGAAAATTCATATTATTAAAATGTCTGTACTCCTAACAGTGATTAATAGATTTACTGCAATCTCTATTAAATTCCTATGGTATTTCTTATAGAATTGAAAAAACTTAAAATTTATATGAAAACACAAAAGACTGTTATTATGCAAACATGATTTTTTTAAAAATGCACAGAATGATCTTATATATTGCTTTTAAGAAAGCAACTATAAGACTTTATAGAAAAAATACTTTCTTTTATAGGTTAGAACTGAATCTACTCAGTTTTATTCAAGATTAAATCTGTCCACTTCTTCTTCACCTCAGAATGTTAACGTTTTTATAGGATTATTCAAAAGTACCTTAATTATGCCCTGTTCTGCATGCACAATCCAGGAGACAGTAAGTTCAGAGAATTATAGTCCAACTTGTTTGGACTGACTTTTGTTCCAATTTTGGGGATTGGCTTTTGGTCGTTCATTTCTTCTACGGTCAAAATGTAAGTGGACTCATTTTGATCCATGTCATCTCTCTCGAAAGAAATATGCTGTTTCCAAATTTTAAACTGAACTTAGCTTGGAAAAGAAGGCCTAGTAACAGAGATAGGAGTTGTCATTATATCTCTAGCTATCATTATATAATGGAAGCCAGACTTTGTCAACTCACTCTTTTACCAGAATTTTAAACTCCCTAATAGATGATTGAAGTGATAACATGATTTCCTTTAATGCTGCTCACAGACTTCCCACTTTATTTAGAAAATTCATTATTATAGAGCCTGGGTGATGGATAAAGTAAGGCATTCACTTGTTTTTCTTATGTTATAGACAGAAGCTGGGTTTCGGTCCATAATATCAAAATGTCATCTGTTATTTATATTGACATAACTTTCTGAAAACAGTGCAAGTCAAGATTTGCAGTGTTTAATGAAACCTGAATTTTGAAATTTTACCTCCTTTTGTGGGAAATAATTTTAAGAATCAGATATAGAGTTTAAAATTTAAAGTTCTGTCGGATCTAGGAAAGATTATTTTGCTATATTTGTGTTTCTCTCTGTGAAATTTTTGATCACCAATTCCAATAAAAACCACAATAGCATTTTCTCCAGAGATTTCAATGAATTCTTTGATTTCCTGTAAAGAAATAATTTGTACATCAATAAGAGAAATGCATCATATAAATTTCAAAAATAGATGCATATAATTTTAATAGCTTTACTGAAGGAAGAACAATTGATATACAAAAAACCTGCAAGTATTTTTACTTATATATTTATATTATTTATATATATATAAATTGATGAGTTTTGACATATACATGCACCTATGATGCTATCATTACAACAATGAAGGTAATAAACATATCCATCACCTACAAAAGCTCTCTTTGTCACTCTTTGTTTTTGATAGTAATAATGCTTAACATGAGATTGACCCTCTTAACACATTATTAAGTGTACAATACCGTGTTGTTAACTATAGGCATTATATTGTAGAGCAAATTTCTATGCTTATTCATAAACATAAGTGAAACTTTATACCCACTGAACAACAGCTCCCCATTTCTCTCTCTCCCAAACCCCTGGAAATCACTATTTTATTTCTGCTTCAATTAGTTTGCCTATTTTACTTAACTAATATAAGTGGAATCATAAAATATTTGTCCTTTTTTTATTATTATACTTTAAGTTCTAGGGTACATGTGCACAACGTGCAGGTTTGTTACATATGTATACATGTGCCATGTTGGTGTGCTGCACTCATTAACTCATCTTTTACATTAGGTATATCTCCTAATGCTATCCCTCCCCCTTCCCCCAACCCCACGACAGACCCCGGTGTGTGATGTTCCCCTTCCTGTGTCCATGTGTTCTCATTGTTCAATTCCCACCTATGAGTGAGAACATGCATTGTTTGTTTTTTTGCCCTTGTGATAGTTTGCTGAGAATGATGGTTTCCAGCTTCATCCATGTCCCTACAAAGGACATGAATTCATCCTTTTTTATTGCTGCATAGTATTCCGTGGTGTATATGTGCCACATTTTCTTAATCCAGTCTATCATTGTTGGACATTTGGGTTGGTTCCAAGCCTTTGCTATTGTGAATAGTGCCACAATAAACATAAGTGTGCATGTGTCTTTATAGTAGCATGATTTATAATCCTTTGGGCATATACCCAGTAATGTGATGGCTGGGTCAAATGGTATTTCTAGTTCTAGATCCTTGAGGAATCACCACACTGTCTTCCACAATGGTTGAACTAGTTTACGGTCCTACAAAGAGTGTGAAACTGTTCCTATTTCTCCACATTCTCTCCCACACCTGTTGTTTCCTGACTTTATAATGATCACCATTCTAAATGGTGTGAGATGGTATCTCATTGTGGTTTTGATTTGCATTTCTCTGATGGCCAGTGGTGGTGAGCACTTTTTCATGTGTCTGTTGGCTGCATAGGTGTCTTCTTTTGAGAAGTGTCTGTTCATATACTTTGCCCACTTTTTGATGGGTTTTTTTGTTTTTTTCTTGTAAATTTGTTTGAGTTCACTGTAGATTCTGGATATTAGCCCTTTGTCAGATGAGTAGATTGTAAAAATCTTCTGCCATTCTGTAGGTTTCCTGTTCACTCTGATGGTAGTTTCTTTTGCTGTGCAGAAGATCTTCAGTTTAATGAGATCCCATTTGTCAATTTTGGCTTTTGTTGCCATTGCTTTTAGTCTTTTAGACATGAAGTCCTTGCCCATGCCTATGTCCTGAATGGTATTGCCTAGGTTTTCTTCTATGGTTTTTATAGATTTAGGTCTAACATGTAAGTCTTTAACCCATCTTGAATTAATTTTTGTGTAACATGTAAGGAAGGGATCCAGTCTCAGCTTTCTACATATGGCTAGCCAGTTTTCCCAGCACCGTTTATTAAATAGGGAATCCTTTCTCCATTTCTTGTTTTTGTCAGGTTTGTCCAAGATCAGATGGTTGTAGATGTGTGGTATTATTTCTGAGGGCTCTGTTCTGTTCCATTGGTCTATATCTCTGTTTTGGTATCACAACCATGCTGTTTTGGTTACTGTAGCCTTGTAGTGTAGTTTGAAGTCAGGTAGCATGATGCCTCCAGCTTTGTTCTATTGGCTTAGGATTGACTTGGCTATGAGGGCTCTTTTTTGGTTCCACATGAACTTTAAAGTAGTTTTTTCCAATTCTGTGAAGAAAGTCATTGGTAGCTTGATGGGGATGGCATTTAATCTATAAATTACCTTGGGCAGTGAAGGCATTTTCACAATATTGATTCTTCCTATCCATGAGCATGGAATATTCTTCCACTTGTTTGTGTCCTCTTTTATTTCGTTGAGCATTGGTTTGTAGTTCTCCTTGAAGAGGTCCTTCACAACCCTTGTAAGTTGGATTCCTAGGTATTTTATTCTCTTTGAAGCAGTTGTGAATGGGAGTTCACTCATGATTTGACTCTCTGTTTGTCTGTTATTGGTGTATAAGAATGCCTTTGATTTTTGTACATTGATTTTGTATTCTGAGACTTTGCTGATGTTGCTTATCACCTTAAGGAGATTTTGGACTGAAATGTTGGGGTTTTCTAAATATACAATCATGTCATCTGCAAACAGGGACAATTTGACTTCCTCTTTTCCTAATTGAATACCCTTTATTTCTTTCTCCTGCTTCATTGCCCTGGCCAGAATTTACAACACTATGTTGAATAGGAGTGGTGAGAGAGGGCATCCCTGTCTTGTGCCAGTTTTCAAAGGGAATTCTTCCAGTTTTTGCCCATTCAGTATGATATTGGCTGTGGGTTTGTCATAAATAGCTCTTATTATTTTGAGATACGTCCCATCAATACCTAATTTATTGAGAGTTTTTAGCATGAAGGGTTGTTGAATTTTGTCAAAGGCCTTTTCTGCATCTATTGAGATAATCATGTGGTTTTTGTCTTTGTTTCTGTTCATATGCTGTATTATGTTTATTGATTTGTGTATGTTGAACCAGCCTTGCATCCCAGGGATGAAGCCCACTTGATCACGGTGGATAAGCTTTTTGATGTGCTGCTGTATTCAGTTTGTCAGTATTTTATTGAGGATTTTTCCATCAATGTTCATCAGGGATATTGGTCTAAAATTCTTTTTTGTTGTTGTGTCTCTGCCCGGCTTTGGTATCAGGATGATGCTGGCCTCATAAAATGAGTTAGGGAGGATTCCCTCTTTTTCCATTGATTGGAATAGTTTCAGAAGGAATGGTACCAGCTCCTTCTTGTACCTCTGGTAGAATTCAGCTGTGAATCCATCTGGTCCTAGACCTTTTTTGGTTGGTAGGCTATTAATTATTGCCTCAATTTCAGAGCCTGTTATTTGTCCATTCAGGGATTCAGTTTCTCCCTGGTTCAGTCTTGAGAGTGTGTATGTGTCCAGGAATTTATCCATCTCTTCCAGATTTTCTAGTTTATTTGCATAGAGGTGTTTATAGTATTCTCTGATGGTAGTTTGCATTTCTGTGGGAACAGTGGTGATATCCCATTTATCATTTTTTATTGCATCCATTTGATTCTTACCTCTTTTCTTCTTTATTAGTCTTGCTAGCGGTCTCCCAATTTTGTTGATCTTTTCAAAAAACCAGCTCCTGGATTCGTTGATTTTTTGAAGGCTTTCTTGTGTCTCTATCTCCTTCAGTTCTGCTCTGATATTAGTTATTTCTTGCCCTCTGCTAGCTTTTGAATGTGTTTGCTCTTCCTTCCCTAGTTCTTTTAATTGTGATATTTGGGTGTCAATTTTAGATCTTTCCTTCTTTCTCTTGTAGGCATTTAGTGCTATAAATTTCCCTCTACACACTGCTTTGAATGTGTCCCAGAGATTCTGTTATGTTGTTTCATAGTTCTCATTGGTTTCAACAAACATCTTTATTTCTGCCTTCATTTCTTATTTACCCAGTAGTCATTCAGGAGCAGGTTGTTCAGTTTCCATGTAGTTAAGTGGTTTTGAGTGAGTTTCTTAATTCTGAGTTCTAGTTTGATTGCCTTGTGGTCTGAGAGATAGCTTGTTATAATTTCTGTTCTTTTACATTTGCTGAGGAGTGCTTTACTTCCAACTATGTGGCCAATTTTGGAATAACTGCAATGTGGTGCTGAGAAGAATGTATATTCTGTTGATATGGGGTGGAGAGTTCTGTAGATGTCTATTAGGTCCGCTTGGTGCAGAGCTAAGTTCAATTCCTGGATATCCTTTTTAACTTTCTGTCTTGTTGATCTGTCTAATGTTGACAGTGGGGTGTTAAAGTCTCCAGTTATTAATGTGTGGGAGTCTAAGTCTCTTTGTAGGTTACTCAGGACTTGCTTTATGAATCTGGGTGCTCCTGTATTGGGTGCATATATATTTAGGATAGTTAGATCTTCTTGTTGAATTGATCCCTTTACCATTATGTGACAGCCTTCTTTGTCTCTTTTGATCTTTGTTGGTTTAAAGTCTGTTTTATCAGAGACTAGGATTGCAACATCTGCCTTTTTTTGTTTTCCATTTGCTTAGTAGATCTTTCTCCATTCCTTTATTTTGAGCCTATGTGTGTTTCTGCACATGATATGGGTCTCCTAAATACAGCACACTGATGGGTCTTGACTATCCAACTAGCAATTTGGATAAAATATCTTCTAATTGGAGCATTTAGCCCATTGACATTTAAAGTTAATATTGTTATGTGTGAATTTGATCCTGTGGTTATGATGTTAGCTGGTTATTTTGCTCGTTAGTTGATGCAGTTTCTTTCTGGCATCGATGGTCTTTAAAATTTGTCATGTTTTTGCACTGGCTGGTACCAGTTGTTCCTTTCCATGTTTAGTGCTTCTTTCAGGAGCTCTTGTAAGACAGGACTGGTGGCCACAAAATCTCTCAGCATTTGCTTGTCTACAAAGTGTTTTACTTCTCCTTGACTTATGAAGCTTAGTTTGGCTGGATATGACATTCTGGGTTGAAAATTCTTTTCTTTAGGAATGTTGAATATTGGCCCCCACTCTCTTCCGGCTTATGAAGTTTCTGCTGAGAGATCCACTGTTAGTCTGATGGGCTTCCCTTTGTGGGTAACCCGACCTTTCTCTCTGGCTGCCCTTAATATTTTTTCCTTCATTTCAACTTTGGTGAATCTGACAATTATGTGTATTTGAGTTACTCTTCTTGAGGAGTATCTTTGTGGCATTCTCTGTATTTCGTGAATTTGAATGTTGGCCTGCCTTGCTAGGTTGGGGAAGTTCTCCTGGATAATATCCTGCAGAGTGGTTTCCAACTTGGTTCCATTCTCCCTATCACTTTCAGGTACACCAGTCAGACATAGATTTGGTCTTTTCACATAGTCCCATATTTCTTGGAGGCTTTGTTCATTTCATTTTACTCTTTTTTCTCTAAACTTCTCTTCTCGCTTCATTTCAGTCATTTGATCTTCAATCACTGATACCCTGTCTTCCAGTTGATCGAATCAGCTACTGAAGCTTATGCATGTGTCACATAGTTCTCCTGCCATGGTTTTCAGCTCCATCAGGTCATTTAAGGACTTCTCTACACTGGTTATTCTAGTTAGCCCTTTGTCTAATCTTTTTTCAAGGTTTTTAGCTTCTTTGTGATAGGTTCAAACTTTCTCCTTTAGCTTGGAGAAGATTGATCATCTGAAGCCTTCTTCTCTCAACTCTTCAAAGTCATTCTCCATCCAGCTTTGTTCCATTGCTGATGAGGAGCTGTGTTCCTTTGGAGGGGGAGAGGCACTGTGATTTTTATAATTTTCAACTTTTCTGCTCTGTTTTTTCCCCATCTTTGTGGTTTTATCTACCTTTGGTCTTTGTTTATGGTGACGTACAGATGGGATTTTGGTGTGAATGTCTTTTCTGTTTGTTAGTTTTCCTTCTAACATTCAGGACCCTCAGCTTCAGGTCTGTTGGAGTTTGCTGGAGGTCCACTCCAGACCCTGTTTTCCTGGGTATCAGCATCAGAGGCTGCAGAACAGCTAATATTGCTGAACAGCAAATGTTGCTGCCTGATCGTTCCTGTGGAAGCTTTGTCTCAGAGGGGTACCTGGCCGTGTGAGGTGTCAGTCTGCCCCTACTGGGGGGGTGCCTCCCAGTTAGGCTACTCAGGGGTCAGGGACCCACTTGAGGAGGCAGTCTGTCTGTTCTCAGATCTCAAACTCTTTGATGGGGAGACCACTACTCTCTTCAAAGCTGTCAGACAGGGACAGTTAAGTCTGCAGAGGCTTCTGCTTCCTTTTGTTCAGCTATGCCCTGCCCCCCAGAGGTGGAGTCTACAGAGGCAGGCAGCCCTCCTGAGCTATGGTAGGCTCCACCTTGTTCCACCTTCCTGGCCACTTTGTTTACCTACTCAAGCCTCAGCAATGGCGGGCACCCCTCCCCCAGCCTCACAGCTGCCTTGCAGTTCAATCTCAGAATGCTGTGCTAGCAATGAGTGAGGCTCCATGGGCATGCGACCCTCCGAACCAGGCATGGAATATAATCTCCTGGTGTTCCATTTGCTAAGACTGTTGGAAAAGCGCAGTGTTAGTGTGGGAGTGACCTGATTTTCCAGGTGCCATCTGTTACAGCTTCCCTTGGCTAGGAAAGGGAATTCCCTGATCCCTTGTGCTTCCTGGGTGAGGAGATGCCTGGCCTTGCTTTGGCTCACACTCCATGGGTTGGTTGCACTCACTGTCCTGCACCCACTGTCTGACAAGCCCCAGTGAGATGAACCCAGTACCTCAGTTGGAAATGCAGAAATCAACCATCTTCTGTGTCGCTCATGCTGGGAGCCATAGACTGGAGCTGTTCCTATTGGGCCATCTTGGAACTGCCCCCCATATTAGTCCTTCTTGAACTTGCTTAATTCACTTAGCATAATACCCTCTAGGTTCATCCACATTGTCACAAATGGTACCTTTTGTCAAACCTTGGCAACTGAATTGACATTTCTACTGCTTCCATATACAGAGAAATTATACTAACTGAACTTGTGAAAATAATTTATTGATATTAAATTAAAATGCTCATGAATAGTTTTTGAATTCTTGTAAGATCAGATATGGAGAAAAATCTCAAATTTGTCTTTATTTTAATGAATGAAAAATATTTATGATTTTGAAATAATTAGCAATGGGAAACTAATTAGGAAAATTGAGATTTTTAGATTGTTCTACTGTTTTGATTATTATTGACATAACATAATATATCGTATATTTCTATATTTACTTTAAAATACATGTTTATATATACATATATATATATAGACAGAGCCATCGTGAGTAAATTAGTGTGTATGTGTAGTGGGGGTGTTTGTGTTTTCTTTAATGGATACTCTAGCAGCAGTTATCTAGTGTATGTCATGTACTAATTAATATTGCATCCCAGAAACAAATCCTAAAACTGCTTTAAATTTGTATCTTTTCTCTCTCTTCTTTCTAATAAAGAAATGTATATATGGAACAATACTGTCTGAATTTGTTTCATTTTAGTATACCACATGATAGTGTGGTGAAGGAGTGTGAGGACAGGCAGACAGAGATGGGAGAAATGGAGAGACAGAGAGAGAAAGAAAGAAAGAAAGAAAGAGACAGAGAACTTATTATAGTGAAGCCTTATTTATCTTTGTATCATGAGGGGCTAGCTCAGGACCTGGCATGAATGGAGCTTATAAAGTGTATATTAAAATAAATAGGCCACTTATGACATGGGTTAAGTCATTCATATTCCAAATTTAATGTAAGAGGTGCGTTCTAGCATAAATATATATCTTAGGCTTTACAATAAAGTAAAATATTGTTACTTTTATACATATGATATAGGTTTAATTTTGAGAGCATGCACAATATTTATTTAAAAATGCTCCTTAAATAAATTTAAAAATATATTTCTACATGAATATAATGTAACATTACCAATTTTATTGAGTCTCTGTTTTTTTCTTATAAAAAGAACTTACAATGATAATACATAAGTAAAACTGTAATAATTATACCTACTAGACACATAAAAGCTTTGAATTGAAGAAAAATTTTACAATAATCTGTGTCAGGTTATGATTTAAATTTAGAATTACTGTATTCTAAATTCTCAAACAGAGATCATCAATATTTTTTAGTTATGGTACTGAATTCAATAGAACTTTAAATGTACATCATGTATGTGAGCTGACATAGAGGAATCATGATTAAGTAAATCAAAATAGTATTAATGTTCAATGACATGTGGTAGAGAGAAATATTTGATTTTTAAGTTAGAATTTAGGCATTCAAAACAGGAATCACAGGAATAACAAAAGGACATAACTCTGAACTATGCACACCAGATAAGCATAAAATTTATTTTGCAAATGTTTTTGCAGTTTAGTCCTTTGCATCAGTTTATATTGTGGGAAAGTAAGGGAGCAAGAACAGCTGAAATGATATAACACATAAAAATATCAGATAATTTTTATTGTAAACAGATATAAGCTGAATTTGAAAACAAAATTGATAAGAAATTAAAGAGGAATATATTTCCCACTTGTTCCTTTCATATATAATCCAAAGCCTAAAATTATGATTCTTTATAGAAATATCTTCCTGCTTTTCTGTCATTTGTCAAAAGAAGAATAAAATCAATATTTATTTTTAGGGCTACATTACTGCATCATGAACCTAAACTTAATTCTGACTCTAGAAACCAAGTCAAACCATCAAGAAATGTAAACCATGAGCAAATGAGAATAAATGCAATAAAATCACATCCAATATAAAAGGCACGGAGATACTACAAAGAGTAAGAAACATCAGAAAGGGTTTAGGTGAAAATATAATAAATATTCCTTTTCTAAAATGTTGTGGTAGTAATAGTTTATTACTTAATCTACAAAAAATATTGTCAGTATTTCCATACTTACCGAAATGAGTATGATACCTCAGCCTCACTCCTTCAGTATCTTTTTAAATCTATTACCGTACTACAGTATCATTTCAACAATGTTAAATATTTAATCACAATTTAAATATTAAATATTAATGATAAGGATAATAATCCTTTACTATGACCTATACTATTCATACCGTTCTGGAAATATAACATATAATACCAGCAGATCGCAAGTTAGATAGACCAAAACCCTCTCAAAACCAAGAACAAACAAACAAAAAATACAAAGCAAAACATTTAGCCTCTGCATTTAAGGCATGTTTTTCATCAATCCTGATGTGCTGCCGGGAATATACAAAGAAGAGGTAAGACATCTGGGATTCCCATGGGAAACCAGAAACGAATATATAAATGAAATGTTGAGAAGCCCAGCCATCAATTCTCCATAGTAAGCTAGAGGGTCAGCAAAACAAATAAACTTGGCTGCCTACAGCCTGCTGAGTAACTCCTCATTTTTATTTGCCTGCCACACCATGAAAGACTCTGCAGTTCTAAAGAAGCTTTGTAGAGAAAAGCAAAGATATCTTCTGTGAGGGTTTCTTAGTTTACTGAAAGTAGGAGAACCTTCACATTAAAAGGAATCAGCATGATCAAGCAGAAGGCTTGGTGGAGGTGCTAACATGGTTATCTCATATCCATCAAGTTGGAGTTTTTCTAGAATAACTTTTAAATTGAGTGACTAAAATTCATGGGCCAGACAAGTACTTTCCCAAACTTTCCAGAGTCAAAGAAACACAGATTCAGCAGGAAAAAAAAAAACAAAACCAAACACACACACACACACACAGAAGACATTCACAGTTTTCATGACCAACTCTTCCTTTAATTTACCCTTGGTTTAAAATAAGTACAGCAAGCTCATAAGCCAGATTCATCCTAAATGTGTTTCATGCTTTAATTTCTCAGTCAATTGATGGTGAATGAGTCTGGACTTTGGACAGCCTACTTATTCCAATAGTCAAAGTGGAATATAGCTGTCCTCATGGAAAAGATCATCAAATTAAGCAATATAGCACAAATTACATAAAAGCTTTCTAAAATAATTTTATATAATAGGAATTTATGCACTTAAAATTAAATACAACGGAAAGGATTTCTGGTTGAGTCTAAGAAAGTTTTCCATGAGATCTTAATTGTTCTAATAAGAAGATTTGGATTCTCTTCTTTAGATTTATTGGAATGTTCATTTGGACATCTTATTTATTTTCACTTTGTTTATCTTAATGTTGGGATAATAGAAAGCATAGATATTGAGAATGCATACTCTACTATTGGTATTTTTTTTGTCAAAATGTATAATTTATTTTGAAATGTTAAATAGTGCTTATGGGCTGAGTCATGGCTCATTACTCAGAATTCATTTGTTTGTGTTCTAACCCCAAGTACCTCAGAATAGGACTACATTTGGAGACAGGGCCATTATGGAAAAAACTAATATAAAATGAGGGCATATAGAGAATATCTTATATGGACATAAGGACAAACACAGAGAAGGAAGTCCATGTAAAAACACTGAAGGAAGGCAACCATCTACAAACCAATCATAATGGCTTTAGAAGAAACCAACTCTGTTAATCACACTTTGATTACACACTTCTAGCCTCCTGAATGTGAGAAAGCATGTTCCTTGGAGAGAAGCACAACACACTGATCATTAGAGAAATGCAAATCAAAACCGCAATGAGATACCATCTCACGCCAGTCAGAATGGTGATTATTAAAATGTCAAGAAACAATAAATGCTGGTGAGGCTGTAGAGAAATAGGAATGCTTTTACACTGTTGGTGGGAATGTAAATTAGAGCTAGGTCTTTGAGATTATGTTGATTAATTGATATCCAACACAAACCAAGTTCAAAGTAGATGAGTAGTTAGAGAGAGGGTAAAAAATGGAGAGTTAAAAATTAATAAATAATAAAGCAGTCTAGATGGTATACACACTACTTTTAAGGGAGCTTTTTTTTGAAGTTTAGTGAAACTTATGTAACTTTTAAAAATTTCAATTTTATTTGTAACTTCTGAGTGATTGGTTGTGTTAAAAAAGTTACCATACAATTTCCCATCTTAACAATTTTTAAGTTTGCAATTCAGCAATGTTAAAGTATATTTACATTTTTGTGCCACAGGTTTCTAGAAAATGTTCATCTTCGAAAACACATTGAACAACATACCATTTTCCCTTTACTCCAGCCCCTGGTATCCACTATTCCACTTTCTCTTTCTATGGGTTTTACTACTTTTGACACCACATGTCAGTGAAATCACTTATATGTGTATTTATCTTTTTTTGACTGGCTTATTCAACTTGTTATAACATCCTCAAGCTTCATCAATGTTGTCACATACGATAGAATAGAATTTTCCTTTTTTACAAGCTAAAAAAATCATTCATTTCATTTATATACCATGTTTTCTTTGTCCATTCATCCATCCATGGACATTTGTGTTGCTTTGCTCTCTTGACTATTGTGAATAATGTTGCAAAGAACATGGATGTGCAAATATGTCTTTGAGATCCTACTTTTAATTATTTTGGATAAATACCTAGAAGTAACATTGTTGGGTCATATGGTAATTTTATTTTATTTTATTTTTTTGAGGAACCTCCATACCTTAACTATACGGGTGTCACCATTTTTCATTCCTAACAATAATGCACAAGAGCTCCTATTTATATATATTATCTTCAATACTTTTTGTTTTCTGGGCTGTGTGTGTGTGTGTGGGGGGGGGGGTGTGTGTGTGTGTGAATATATGTATTCAAAAATATTTTGAGGTGGCTAATGGTTATGATGTGATAGTTCATTGTAATTTAGGTTTACATTTCTCTAATAATTAGTGATGTTAAGCATCTTTTCATATGCTTTTTGGCCATATGTCTATATTTTCTGAATAAATGTGTATTCAAGTCTTTGAATTATTTTAATTGAATTTTTGCTATTAAATTATAGGGAATTGTCATATATTTTGAATATAAAACACTTAGCTGATAAATTATTTACCAATATTTTCTTTCTTGCAACCTATTTCTATGGCATCAGTTGTAATGTCTTCTCTTTCTTATTTCTTTTTGTTTTTGGCTTGGTCTTTGTTGTGTCTCCAGGCTGCAGTGCAGCAGCAGCACCATCTCAGCTCACTGAAACCCTCACTTCCTGAGTTCAAGCGATTCTCTCATGTCAGCCTCCTGAGTAGCTGGGACTACAGGTGCATGCCACCACACCTGGCTAATTTTTGTAGTTTTAGTAGAGACAGGGTTTCACCATGTTGCCCAGACTGGTCTCCCACTCCTGGGCTCAAGCAGTCAGCCTGCCTCAGCATTCCAAAGTGCTGGGATTACAGGCATAAGCCACCATGCTCAGCCTGATTTTAATTATACAACTATTCGCTTTTTTTAATCAAGAAAACAATTTCTTGATTTTGTTGATCTTTTCAAAAAAAGAAAGCAATAACTCAGTTTTGCTGATTTTTCTCTATTTTCTATTGTATTTATTTCTGCTGTAATCTTTATTACTTTTTTCTTTCTGATAATTTTGGTCAGTTCTTTGATATGTAAAGTTAGATTGCTTTAGATATTTCTTCTTTTTAACATAGGCATTTATTACTATAAACTATTTTCATAGTATTGTTTTTGCTACATTTGTAAGTTCAGGTTCCTTTTTTCACTTCTTTTTGTGTATCTTCTACAGCAAGCTTGTCCAACCTGCAGCCTGACAGGTGCATGCAGCCCAGGACGGCTTTGAATGTGGCCCAGCACAAACTTGTAAACTTTCTTCAAACACTGTGATTTCTCTTACGATTTTTTCCCAGCTCATCAGCTATGGCTAGTGTTAGTGTATTTTATGTGTGTCCAAGGGCAATTCTTCTTTTCCCAATGTGGTTCAGGGAAGGCAAAAGATTGGGCACCCTTGTTCTATAGGTGTATTTTGTGGTTACCAGGAGGATTGCATGAAGTATTTTATAATAAACATTATATAATAAAACAAATTTAAAAATAAATAAATAAAATATAAATAAAATAAAATATAAAATTAATTTTATATAATTATAAAATAATTACAAATTATAAAAATAAAATATAAATAAATATTAAATAAAATAAACATTTTAAAATAACAGTTCATTTTAAACAAAAAACCCTTTAATTATACATGAAAAGTCTATTCCTTTACATCTCCCATTCCTACTTTATGTTAGCAATATCACTAGTTGTATATTTTGTGTTGTGTCCCAATTAATATAAATGTAATGTTACTTTTATGCTTTTCTCTTTTAAATTGCATATCAGAATTAAAAGAAACTTGTGAAGCAACATTAAAAACTTATGGGATTTTATATTTAATTACATATTTATCTCTACCAGAGAAATTTATACTTTTACATTCATTCATTTTGCTACCTGGTCTCCCTCATTTCAACTTGAAAGACTCCTTTTTGCTTTTTTGTAGGACAGGTGTGGTAATAATTACCTTCTTCAACCTTTTTTAAACCCGAGAAAATATTCAATTTTCCATTATTTCTGAATGACAGGTTTGCCAAATGAATGTCTTGTGTGGTAGGTTTTTTTTTTCTTTTCTGATTTTTCTTTCAACACTTTGAATATGTTACATCACTTACTTTTGGTTTAAAAAGATGTCTGCTGGTATCTTGTTGATAATACCATGTGAGTTCCCTTTTATGTCATGATTCATTTTTCTTCTGCTTCCGAGATTCTTTCTTTGTGACTTTTGAAAGTTTGATTATGATATTTATTGATGCAAAATTTTTGAATTGATCTCAGTGTACGGTAGTTGTATTTTAAAACAATTCTATGTCCATATTCTTCCTCAAATTTGGGAATTGTCTGCCTGCCATTATTTCTTTAAATAGACTTTTTATCTCAATCTTTTCCTCTTGTCCCATGAGGGCTCTCATAATGCATAACTGGTCAGGTTAACAATGTCCCATAAGCCTCCGGCTTTCTTCATTTTATTATGAGATTCTTCTTGCTCCTCTCCCTTAATAGCTTGAAATGGCCAATATTTCAAATTCATGAATTATTTTTTTCTAGCTGAACAAGTCATCTATTGAATTTCTCTAGTAAATTTTTCAATTTAGTTATTGTATTATTTACCTCCAGAATATCTATGTGGTTGTTTTCTATAATTTTTGTGTCTTTGTTGATACTTTTATTTCATATATGTATTATTTTCCTGATTTTTAAAAACTTGTCTATGTTCTTTTAGTTAATCGAGCATCTTTAATTATTTTTGAAATTTTTGATAGGTATTTAAGATATTTTGAATTTTTTGACAGGTAATGGATAGATCTTTGTTCATTCAGGATTGAAAAAAGGTTTACTTTGTTCCTTTAAACAGGTCATGCTTTCCAATGTCTGCATGTTTTGCATTTCTTTGTTTAAATTTTGAGATTTAAAGAAACACCCACATCTCCCAGTCTTTATGTACTGGCTTAGTGTAGGGAAATACCTTCATCTATCACCCCTCCTAGAGATTCTGGGAGTTTTGTGAACCATTCCAAGAGCTGTAGCCTCTCCAGGCTTTTGAATGTAATTACTAAGTTAAATCCAGTTTTTGTTTGTTTGTTTGTTTGTTTTCAGGATTTTGTAATATTTTACTTCACCTGTTGTCATTCTGTAGTAATAATGCAGCTCTTCTGGTACTGCCCTAAACTGCCCCACTGCCTTTATTCCCAGGCATTCAAATGCTGGGGTTTCTATAGGTGATTTAAGCTCAGTGACAGAAATCAGACCCTTGGGAAGTCTCTAAGGAGCCAGAACATTAGACCACATTTCAATTAGAGCACTAGAATATTCTGAATTTGTCTATATATTTACATTTACCAGTGACTTTTTATATTTTTATTTGTTACATGTTAGTGTCCTTTTCCTTTAGAGTGAAAAATACCCTTTGCATTTCTTCTTAAACAGGTTTCGTGTTGGTGAATTCTCCTAGTTTTATTTGTCTTGAAAAGTCTTTATCTCTTCCTCATATATGAAGAAGTGCTTTGATGAGTACAGTATTTTTGGATTAAAGGTTTTTCAAATTTTTGATTACTTCAGCATTTGGCTATATTATCCCACTCTCTTCTTGCCTGCAAGTTTGCTTTTTTTTCTTTCTTTCTTTTTTTTTTGTTTTCACTGAAAATTCACTGAAAACCATTTGGTAACACTATTGAATGTGTTATGTTTTGTTGTTGTTGTTTTGTTTTGTTTTTCTATCTCTCCTGCTGCTTTCAGTATTGTTTTTGTTCTTTGATTTTTGGTAATTTGATTATAATGTGCTTTGGGAATTACTTTCTGCGTTGAATTTGTCTGGTGTTGTCCAAGCTAACTGTTCCCAGATATTATTGTCTTTCTCCAAATTTGGAAAACATTGAGTTATTATATTGAGTTTGTTTTCTAGTCCTTTCTTTTCTCATATCCTCTAGAAACTTAAATTATGTGGAGGTAGTTCCCTTCATAGTGTCATAAAATTTCTGTGGCCGCCATTCTTTCTTTTTACTTTTATCCCTCTGATTGGGTAATTACATGTTTTCTTTCTTTGAGCTTACTGATTCTTTCCTGTTTGATCAAGTCTACTGTTAAAGTTTTCTAATGAGTTTTTCAGTTTAACAATTTTATCCTGCATTTCAAGGATTTCATTTTTTTATTATTTTGATTTCTTTCTGAAATGTCTAATATTGTGTCTGCATTATTTTCCAAGTTTCTTTTAGTTTTTTGATTATGGTTTATGTGATTCCTGAACTTTTCAAAGAGATTTATTTTGAATTTGTCGTCAGATATTTAAGCATCTTCGAATCTTTTTGTGCATTATTGAAACTTGATTGGTTTCTTTTGGAGATGTCATATTTCCCTGTTTTTTTTTTTTTTTTTAACAATACTTGCTGTTTACATTGATGCCTGCATATTTAAGAAGATGGCCACTTGATTCAGCTTTTTAATGTGTTATGCAGTGGTGTTAAAATATTACTGCTTAATACCAGAGCTGAATCACTACCCTGAGCATTCTTTCTGTTCTGAGGATGGCTTATATTTGATAGCAGAACCTAAATAGTGCATTAGAGCTAAATCTCTTCCATGCTGTTGTTTTCCTGTCTGGGGAAGACTTATCATGACCATGAAAACACAATGCTGCACCAGAACTTAAACCCAAAGCCGTAATAATTTCCGGGTTGGGGAAGGCTTAAGAAATAACTAGAACTTAGTTACTTACCTGATAGTTGTTTCTGGGTCAGAGAAAGGCTCTGTATGATCACCTGGGATATTTGTAAAATCTGACCAAAGATTCTAGCCTTCCCCTGGATTGTGCCTCCTGTACTACTGTAGTGCTGGCTAGCCCCCCCCATCAATGTGAATTCCCTGTTGATAGGAACACAAAGCGTCTGCCAAGATCTGTTTGCCATTTGCTGTGATTAGTGCTTCTGCTCTTTGCTTCCAATTCAACCCAGGTGGTTCAGTCCTTCTGACACTCCTAATACCTCCTGTGGGATGGAAAAAAGAAGATTTCTCACAATGATTCACACCCTGACATGGGGACTGAGCGTCCACCTGCAATTATTTTCTTCCACCTGGGTAATTGCAGGTACAGGGAAGTTTTCTGTGAGTGGTGCTATTTTGGTTTGGAGAATGGGTTGATGCAGCACAAATGACCTTTCTTCTTTCTGGTCATGGATTTTTTAATTTCCATGAACCAATAAGATTTTTCACCTTTCTCCTGAGCTCCGGTGCATTCAGAGTGGTATTTTTATATTTGAATAGTTGCTAGTTGTACTTTTAAGATGGATTGATGCTAGAGGTCTTCAGTTCCACCATCTTGCTGATGTCACTACTCAAAAATATTTTTACATGTTAGGAAATTATTTTGTTTTTAGGATTTTGTGTCTACGTGACACAGACATGAAAAGAGATGTACTCTTATCACTGAAACTTTTCGTATACTGTTTTGGTTGTGTGCATTTTCTAGTCATGAATGATTATTTATTTAAGCCATATGTTTTACACATAGACTTTCTTAAAAAGAGACTAGATGGTTCTATGTGTCAGAATATAGAGACAGAATATAACTACACACTAATAATTTCTCAACTCTTTATTTTAGAAGTGTAAATAACCTTTATTTTAATATTTTTCATATTACACCTCTGTAATGCAGAGAAATTTTTATCTTCAGGAAATGGAAAATTTTGTCCAGAGTTCATGGGAAGATGGTATTGTGGTGCTTTCTCTGGGGTCACTGTTTCAAAATGTTACAGAGGAAAAGGTTAATATCATTGCTTCAGCCCTTGCCCAGATCCCACAGAAGGTCAGTAAAACCTCCAATCCTGATAAGTAGCTATTCACATAATGAGAAAGTATAGCTTTTGCCTACTGATCCTTGCTGTTACTGGAAACAACACTCTTGATTGTGGTTTGTTTATAATAAAATAGAAATAATAAATTAAGCCCCTACATCTTATTTTACAATTTGAAATCTAAAGGCATGTGCCAACTGTTCCAAAATAAGTTCTGACATTTATTATTTCCAAGGACCAGAAAAAAGAAAACTGATAAAAAAAAGATAAAGAAGAATCAGTCTCAATCTCAAGAATATCCTTCTCATATTTGAGTGCATAAAAACTGTATTCATGGTACTTTTGCATAGAAATAAAAGCTCAGCTTAATGTAATCTTTCTCAATAATTAGAGTTTTTAAGAGTTAAATGTCAATTGCAATTATATTATAGTAACTTAATTATTTAAGTAATGTAATTATTTATAATACTCAACTGATTTTAACTTTGTTACTACTATAATTCCAGAATTTCACACTTTAGATAGTGCTATATATAAACTATCCAAAAGATATTTTACTTTCTATTTAGCTAAAATACATCAAACTCAATAAAGGCAAGTACACTAATTAGGAATGTGAAATCTTGTAATTTTAATTACAAAATTATCTGTTAAGTAGTTTGAAAAATCTGTGCCATCATTTCTTTTCAAATGTATGACATTTTTTATAGGTTTCCCACAATTAAAAATTATTGAAAACAGGTACAATCCCAAAGAAAATTTATCATTGAACAACGGAACATAAGTAATTCTCTAGCTTATACTTCTTCAATAAAACAGTTAAATATAAGAAAGCAGAGGTCAGAAAGAAAATAGAGAAGAAAAGACAACTGATTATCCAAAACACACACAAAATTGAAAGCAAATTTTATCTGCGGGGAATGGTAAATTTGATGGTAGAAGTAGAATAGTTCCATGGTTTAAAATGACATAGGGATCATGTACTTATAAAATTTTTAATTCTTATTAGAAAATTGAGTAGCCAGTGCTGAATTACTTTTTAATTATTCACTGATATTCTCATTTTCAGATATTTTTGATTGATAATAAAATAATAATTGTATACTTAATAGGCAACAAGTACACATTATCTGAAAAGACCTTTGTAAAATGTCCTACTATATCTTTTAGTGTTTACACAGTACGTCTACATACCCCTGTCTCAACCATCACCTGAAGTACAATGAGTGTATAATTTATAACTATATCTACATACTTAGAATGCTAATGTCCTGTAGTTCAATCTGTGAAGTACATGTGTTTCTTCCATAGGTGTTATGGAGGTACAAAGGAAAAAAAACCATCCACATTAGGAACCAGCACTAAGCTGTATGATTGGATACCCCAGACTGACCTTCTTGGTAGGCCTATGAGAAAGTAAAAATATGAACTAGATGAGGAAAAATGAATAAATGTTAAACAGTGAGCAAATTCAGCAAATATTTAAAATTATAAAACTTTATTTTACTTATACTTTTGAAGCAGATATAATTAAAGGATTGACTAAAATTGTATAGATAGACTCACACTTTCTATTGTTAAGATGAGAGTGACAGGAAATTCAGGAGGAATTAATGCCTCTTTTTCTGAAGATAGAAATGATCTTTACTAGCAATGCTCCATGTGCTCACCTTCTAAAGAAAATGCTGTACGCTTCAGTGAGTTATCTCATAATTCCCATCTTTGGTGCTGAAATTATTTTAAAAATTCATAATAAAATATCTCACCATTTCTCATTCAATTTGCATACAAGGTCACCCCAAACCAAAGCTTTTATCACTCATGGTGGAATGAATGGGATCTATGAAGCTATTTACCATGACGTCCCTATGGTGGGAGTTCCCATATTTGGTGATCAGCTTGATAACATAGCTCACAGGAAGGCCAAAGGAGCAGCTGTAGAAATTAACTTCAAAACTATCACAAGCGAAGATTTACTCAGTGTTTGAGAACAGCCATTAACAATTCCTCGTAAGTACTACTGATTGTAAAGACTGATCTAACATTGATTATGTTATACATTATGCCAGGAAATGTTAAATATAATCCTGGTAGACATTTTAAGGGATTTTCCTCCGCAATATTAAGTCATTAATCACCTTGGTATTGGAATAGTCCTGGATATTATAGTTCATAGTGTGTCAATCTTCATGGAAATATTAGGTTTAAGTTAACAACTGGCTTACTAAACTTTTATTCACCTCTTTGTTTTACCCCATTTTGTTAAGAATATACTCTTTTTCAGTCTCCCCACTATATCTGTTTAATGCTATGCAACCAATAATGTTCACATCACAACCAGCATCAATCTTTTACCCAACAAATTTTTAGCTTGCATAACATATACTACAGTTTATCTACCTGTCTTTTATGAAAACAAAACTACAACTTTCTAATTTCTATGTGTGTTTTTGCCTTCCAGTTACAAGGAGGATGCTATGAGATTATCAAGAATTCACCATGATCAACCCATAAAGACCCTGGATAGAGCAGTCTCCTGGATTGAGTTTGTCATGTGCCACAAAGGAGCCAAGCACCTGCGATCAGCTGCCAACGACCTCACCTGGTTCCAGCACTACTCTATAGACATGATTGTGTTCCCACGTGCCTGGGTGGCAACTGCTATATTCTTGGTCTCATGATGTTGTTTATTTTCCTCTCAAAAATTTAATAAAACTAGAAAGATAGAAAAGAGGGAACAGATCTTTCCAAATTTAGGGAAGACCTGATGGGGTAATCCTGTTAATTCCAGCCACAAAGACTTTAGTGAAAACATGTTCCCTTCCTATTTTCATACTATCTATTCTGATATTTTATCTTAGCTAAGTAGCCTAGAATTCCACGATCATGAAGTTGTGAGTATATCTTATTGTTGCATTGTATTTTCCTAGGTGTCCTTACTCTCTTCTGTCACTTATTAACACAAGGACATTAATACATCTACATTTTCCTATTTCTGATATCATGGTTTCCATGATGTCATCACTTCTATAACCTTAAGTGATAGGGTGACCTTCAGTATGCTGATTCCTGGTGTTTGCACAAACACATGGATGTAAAGAAGTAAAAAATGTAAAATTCACGAAATTCAGTAAACCACACAAATCAGTTAAGCATTCTATGCCTTAGCTTGTTATGAGAAACATAATGATTTTTATTTTTCAATTTAAATAAGCCCTTCTACATACCCAGCATTACTGATCTCAGACAATGAATTGCTAAAAATGACAATAGAGCATTACACTCAGAATAGTTTGCTATATTTCCACATACCTCATCTAGATGTCATGGCCTACATTTCTGCCATCACTCAACCAACATTTTTTGTGTGCTCTTGATGATAAATAGACAGTCCTCAAATAATAAAAGAAACTAATAATTTCTTACATAGAGAAAATGTCAATAAGATATTCAAGGTAACCAGATTATTTTGAGATAAGTAACCATTAGAAATATGTGGTTTTAATTGCTGATTTTATAAAATTTTAGTTGATGGTACACTTAATAAAGAAGATTTAAATGTCTATTCTTTAAAAATGATGAATACTTATAATTCTTATCTCTATAATCAAAAGTCTAATTAATGTAGAAAAATAAAGAGATGCTTGCTCTGAAAGTAAGATCAGTATACGGTTTTTCAGTCTCAATCTTCGAGAACTGCAAATTCATCAAGTAATGGCTTACATGGCAAAAATTTAAGGTATTAGAATACCTGCTTCACAAATAATAGTATGTATTAAATATTTAGATATGTAAAGCTGTATACTAAACTAAATATAGTTTAATAATCTTTACACAAATTAAGCAAATATGTTACACTTTTTATTTTGTTTACTGTTGTATAACCTTAGTGACATGCTTATTTATATTTTAATTTAAGGACTTGATTTATTAAATAAATAAATTGGCTCAACTGGATTTTTGAAAATGTTGAAATTGTTACACATGTTGATAAGGTATATATATAAATTAATTCCAGTTTTAAAATGACTATATAAAAAGAAATATAAGTATTGTTCTTCTGTATGTACATAATTAAATGTAAATAAAAATATTTACTATGTTTTTAACACTTTTTAAGTTTTTACACTGATACGTTTGACTTTTAAAATATTATTATAATCTAGGAAAAGCTGATTATAGCTCTTTTAAGTCTCTGTAATTAAATACAGTAATTGATTAACATGCTCTGACAGGTGAGAAGCCATTTCTGGAGTTGATCCTGCTGACACTCTGGGACTTTTTAGCTTGGACACTCATTGTACGTGGGACTCCCTTCCTCTCAAGAGCTGTTGCTCATAAGACTCTCCTTCATCAATCTGGCATTGCCTTTTAATATCAGTTGCAATCAGAATCCAACTGGCCTTGTAGTTGTAATATGTTCTATCTTAACCACCACTTTCTTACCAGGAGTCTGCCCAGGTTTGTTCTCTCATTCCCGTAAGAAGCTCCCAGCATAGACATTCTAAATTTCAGATCATTAAGTTATTAACAAAGCTTTGGACCATGTTCACTTTAGGCTGAGCATAGTGTGAGGAGATGTAAATTAAATTATAATCCTATATGTGCGTGTTATAAATATTAAAGTGTATAAATTAAATAACACATTCTAAGTGTCCAACAAGGGTCAAATAAATGATACAAAGTCACCATATCAATGCTATTTGATCTCATCTTATTTCAGAAATTTTCTTGTAATATCCTCTTTGGTTTTTTATATCAATTGTTGCAAACAAAGAAAAATCTCAAAGGAATTTTTAATAATTACCTAGAGCCTCACTTCTAGACCTAACAACTAAAAGCAAATTGCCATATTTTTATCACATAGTCTTTAAAATTTGCACATGGCGTGGTGGCAAAATTGATGTTTTAAAGGTGGCAGAGCAGGAATGCCCTGTCCCTGTTCCCCATGCAGAAAGAGACTTAACAACATCATATAGACCAATTTGCCATGGTGATAATCTCAGAAACCAGTGAAAAGGTTGCAGCACCTCAGAAAAGAGCAAAGCCAAAAAGAATTTTATTTTAATATCTAGGAAATGTTGTACCATATACTCTCGATAGATCCTTCTCTAGACCGTACAGCATTACACAATCAGGAAAAAAATCTTTAGTCATAACTTTTCCCATAGGAGTGAAAGAAGCGAGAAATGTGGTCTAATGTTCTGGCTCCTTAGGGGACTTCCCAAGGATCTGATTCCTGTCACCGAACTTAAATCACTTATAGAAACCCCAGCATTTGAATGCCTGGGAATAAAGGCAGTGTGGCTGTTTAGGGCAGTACAAGAACAGCTGCATTATTACTACAGAATGACAACAGGTGAAGTAAAATATTACAAAATCCTGAAAACAAACAAACAAACAAAAAACCCGATTTAACTTGGCAATTACATCCAAAAGCTCAGAGAGGATACAACTCTTGGAATGGTTTGCAAAGCTCCCAGGATCTCTAGCTGGGGTAATTGATGAAGGTTTTCCACTACACTAAGCCAGTATATAAAGACTGGGAGATGTGGATGTTTCTTTAAATCTCAGAATTTAAACAAAGAAATGCAAAACATGCAGACACTGAGAAGCATGACCTATTTAAGGGAACAAAATAAAGCTTTCATTCCACCCTCAATAAACAAAGATTTATTAATCACCTGTCAAAATATATTAAATACCTATCAAAAATTTCAAAAATAATTAAAGATGCTCGATTACCTAAAAAAACACAGACAAGTTTTTAAAAATCAGGAAAATAATGCATATATAAAATAAGAGTATCAACAAAGACATAAAAAGTATAGAAAAGAACCAAATAGAAATTCTGGAGGTAAATAATACAATAATTAAATTGAAAAATTTACAAGAGAAATTCAATAGATGACTTGATCAGCTAGAAAAAATAATTCATGAATTTGACAATATTGGTGACTTGAAACTTTTAAGGGAGAGGAGCAAAAAGAATGTGATAATAAAGTGAAGAAAGCCTGAGACTTATGGGACATTGTTAACCTGACCAGTTATGCATTATGAGAGTCCTCATGGGAGAAGAGGAAAAGATTGAGACAAAAAGTCTATTTAAAGAAATAATGGCAGGCAGAATATTTCCCAAATTTGAGGAAGAACACGGACATAGAATTGTTTTGAAACACAACTACTGTACACTGAGATCAGTTCAAAAATTTTACACCAATAAATATTATAATTAGTCTTTCAAAAGTCATAGACAAAGGAAGAATCTTGGAAGCAGAAAAAGAAAAATAAATCATGACATAAATGGGAACTCACATAATGTTATCAACAAGATACCAGCAGATATCCTTTCAAACCAAAGCTAAGCAACATAATATATTCAAAGTGTTGAAAGAAAAACAAGAAAAAAACCCAACCACATAAGAGATTCATTTGGCAAACCTGTCATTCAGAAATTACGCAAAATAGAATATTTTCTTGGGTTAAAAAAAAGTTTGAAGAAGGTAAATATTACCACACCTGTCCTACAAGCAAAGCAAAAAGGAGTCATTCATGTTGAAATGAGGGAGGGTAGGTAGCAAAACGAATGAATGTTAAAATATAAATCTATCTGGTAGAGATAAATATATAATTAATTATAAAGTCCCGTAAGTTCTTAATGTTGATGCACAAGTTACTTCCAATTCTGATATGCAATTTAAAAGAGAAAAGCATAAAAGTAACATTACATTTGGATTAATTGGGACACAACATAAAATATATAACTAGTGATATTACTAACATAAAGTAGGAATGGGAGATGAAAAGGAATAGATTTTTCATATATAATTAAAGTTTTTGTTCGGTTTAAAATGGACTGTTATAACTAGAATATGTTTTATGCCATCCTCATGGTAACCACAAAATATACCTATAGGACAAGAGTGTCCAATCTTTTACCTTCTCTGGACCACATTAGGAAAAGAAGAATCACCTTGGGCCACACACAAAATACACTAACACTAGCCATAGCTGATGAGCTGGGAAAAAATCGCAAGAGAAATCACAATGTTTGAAGAAAGTTTACAAGTTTGTGCTGAGCTGCATTGAAAGCCATCCTGGGCTGCATGCAGCTCTCAGGCTGCAGGTTGGACAAGCTTGCTGTAAAAGATACAAAAAAAGTAGTGAAAAAAAGGAAACTGAACTTACAAAAGTAGCAAAAACAGTACTATGAGGATAGTTTATAGTAATAAATGCCTACGTTAAAAAGAAGAAATATCTAAAAGAATCTAACTTTACATATCAAAGAACTGACCAAAATTATCAGAAAGAAAAATGTAATAAAGATTACAACAGACATAAATGCAATAGGAAATAGAGAAAAATCAGCAAAACTGAATTATTGCTTTCTTTTTTTTGAAAAGATCAACAAAATTGAGAAATCATTTTCTCGACTAAAAAAAACAGTGAATAGTTGTATAATTAAAATCAGCCTGAGCTTGGGGGCTTAATCCTGTAATCCCAGCAGTTTGGAATGCCAAGGCAGGCAGACTGCTTGAGCACAGGAGTGGAAGACCAGTCTGGGCAACATAGTGAAAACCTGTTTCTACTAAAACTACAGAAATTAGCCAGGTGTGGTGGCATGTACCTGTAGTCCCAGCTACTCAGGAGGCTGACGTGAGAGAATCGCTTGAACTTCGGAAGTGAGGGTTTCAGTGACCAAGATGATGCTGCTGCTGCGCTCCAGCCTGGGGACAGAGCAGAGACCCAGTCTAAAAGAAAAAAAAAATAACAAATCAGAAATGAAAGAGAAGACATTACAATTGATGTCATAGAAATAAATAGGTTGCAAGAGAGAAAATATTGGTAAATCACTTATCTGCTAAGTGTTTTATATACATATATGACAATTCTCTATAGTTTAATAGCAAAAACCCAATTAAAATAATTCAAAGACTTGAATACACGTTTATTCAGAAAATGTAGACATATGGCCAAAAAGCATATGAAAAGATGCTTAACATCACTAAATATTTGAGAAATGTAAATCAAAACTACAATGAGCTATGACATCATAACCATTAGCCACCTCAAAACATTTTTGAATACATATATTCACACACACGCAGACACACACACACACACACACACACAGAGCCCAGAAAACAAAAAGTATTGAAGATAATATATATAAATAGGAACTCCTGTGCATTGTTGGTAGGAATGAAAAATGATGACAGCCCTATAGCTAAGAGTATGAAGTTTCCTCAAAAAAATTAAAATAAAATTACCATATGACCCAACAATGTTACTTCTAGGCATTTATCCAAAATAATTAAAAGCAAGATCTCAAAGACATATTTGCACATCCATGTATTTTGCAACATTATTCACAATAGTCAAAAGAGGAAAGCAACACAAATGTCCACGGATGGATGAATGGATAAAGAAAACATGGTATATACATGAAATGAAAGATTATTTAGCTTTTAAAAAAAGAAAATTTTATCATATGTAACAACATTGATGAAGCTTGAGGATGTTATAGTAAGTTGAATAAGCCAGTCAAAAAAAGATAAATACACATATAAATAATTTCACATACATGTGGTATCAAAACTAGTAAAATCCATAGAAAGAAAAAGTGGAATAGTGGATACCAGGGGCTGGAGTAAAGGGAAAATGGGGTGTTGTTCAATGTGTTTTCCAAGATGAAAATTTTCTAGAAACCTGTGGCACAAAAATGTAAATATACTTAACATTGCTCAGCTGCAAACTTAAAAACTGTTAAGATGGGAAAATGTATGGTAACTTTTTTAACACAATCAATCACTCAGCAGTTACAGAGAAAATTGAAAGTTTTATTTTATTTATTTATTTTTGAATGTTAAATAACTTAAGTTTCACTAAACTTCAAAAAAACTCCCTTGAAATTAGTGTTTTTACCAACCAGACTCTTTTTATTTATTAATTTTTTAACTCAGTATGTTTTGTTTTCTAATTACTCATCTACTTTGAACTTGGTTTGTGTTGGAAATCAATCAATTAATCAACATAATATTAAAGACCTAGCTCTAATTTACGTTTTCACCAACAGTGTTAAAGCATTCCTGTTTCTCTATAGCCTCACCAGCATTTATTGTTTCTTGACATTTTAATAATCATCATTCTGACTGACATGGGATGGTATCTCATTTTGGCTTTGATTTGCATTTCTCTAATGATAAGTGATGTTGAGCTTTTTTCCGTATGTTTGTTGGCTGCATAAATGTCATCTTTTGAGAAGTGGCTCTTTATATTCTTCGACCAGTACTTAATGGTTTTGTTTTTTCTTGTAAATTTATTTAAGTTCCTTGTAAATTAAATAAATTTAATTGTAGATAATAGACCTTTGTCAGCTGGGTAGATTGCAAAATTTTTCTCCCATTCTGTAGGTTGCCTGTTCACTCTGATGGTAGTTTCTTTTGCTGTGCAGAAGCTCATTAGTTTAATTGGATCCCATTTGTCAACTTTGGCTTTCGTTGCAATTGTTTCTTGTGTTTTCATGATGAAGTCTTTGCCCATATCTACGTCCTGAATGGTATTGCCTAGATTTTCTTCTATGACTTTTATGGTTTTGGGTTTTACATTTAAGTCTTTAATCTTCCTTGGGTTAATTTTTGTATAAGGTGTGAGGAAGGTGTCCAGTTTCAGTTTTCTGCATGTGGTTACCCAGTTTTTTGATCACCATTTATTAAATAGGGAATTCTTTCCCCATTGCTTGTTTTTGTCAGATTTGTCTAAGATTAGATGGTTGCAGATGTGTGGTGTTATTTTTGAGGTGTCTTTTCTGTTCCATCGGTCTATATACCTGCTTTGGTACAAGTACCATGCTGTTTGGTTGCTGTTGCCTTTTATTACAGTTCAAAGTCAGGTAGCACGATGTCTCCAATTTTGTTTTTTTGCTTAGGATTGTCTTGGCTATACAGGGTGTTCTTTGATTACATATGAAATTCAAAGTAGCTTTTTTCTAATTCTACGAAGAATGTCAATGGTAGTTTGATGGGAATAGCATTGAATCTATAAAATACTTTGGGCAGTATGGCCATTTTCACAATGTTGATTTGTCCTGTCTGTGACGATGAAAAGTGTTTTCCATTTGTTTTCATCCTCTCTCATTTCCTTGCACAGTGGGTTGTTGTTCTCATTGAAGCAGTTATTCACATCCCTTGTTAGCTATATTCCTAGGTATTTTATTCTCTTTGTAGCAATTGTTAATGGGAGTTGATTCTTGATTTGGCTCTCCGCTTGTCTATTGTTAGGGTAAAGGTATCCTTGTGATTTTTGCACATTGATTTTGTATACTGAGACTTTGCTGATTTTGCTTATCAGTTTAAGGAGTTTGGGGGCTGAGATGACGGGGTTTTCTAAATGAAAAATTATGTCACCTACAAACAGGGACAATTTGACTTCCTATCTTCCTATTTGAATACCCTTTATTTCTTTCTCTTGCCTGACTGCACTAGTCCTAACTTCCAATACTATGTTGAATAAGAGTGTAGAGAGAGGGCATCCTTGTCTTGTACCTTTTTTCACAGGGAATGCTTCCAGCTTTTGCCCATTCAATGTGATATTGGCTATGCATTTGTCACAAATAGCTCTTATTATTTTGAGTTATGTCCCATCAATGCCTAGATTACTGAGAGTTTTTAACATGAAGGGATGTTAAATTTTACCAGAGACCTGTTTTGTGCATCTATTGAGATGCCATACTGGCAGTTTCTCAAGGATCTAGAAACAGAAATACCATTTGACCCTGCAGTCTTATTACTGGGTATACACCTAAAGGAATATAAATCATTTTGCTGTGAAGACACATGCAGACATATGTTTATTGTGGCACTATTTACAGTAGCAAAGTCATGGAGCTAACGTAAATGCCCATCAATGACAGATGAGATAAAGAAAATGTGGTACATAGACACCACCAAATACTGCACAGCCAAAAATGGAATGAGATCAACTCCTTTTCAGAGACATGAATAAAGCTGGAAACCATCATCCTCAGCAAACTAACACAGGAACAGAAAACCAAACACTGTGTGCTCTCACTCATAAGGGGGAGTTGAACAATGAGGACACATGGACACAGGGAGGGAAACAACACACACCAGGGCCTATTGGGAGGTGGAGCATGAGGGAAGGAAACTTAGAGGATGGATCAATAGATGCAGCAAATCACCATGGCACACTTATACCTATGTAACAAACCTGCACGTTCTGCACATGTATCCTGGAACTTGTGCGTAAAAAGTAAAGGAAAAAAAAGAAGAAAGAAAAGAAAGAAAGAAAGAAAGAAAGAAAGAAAGAAAGAAAGAAAGGAAAGAAAGAAAGAAAACAGAAAGAAAGAAAAGAAAGCGAAAGAAAGAGACTTAGCTTTATATTATCAAGTGCTCAAAATATATTTTATATTATTGAGCAAGATAATGTATTAATAAATTTGAAGTGAATGGTTGTTACTAGCTCAAATTTATGAAAAATAAAAGCTAATCTGGATACAGTTATTCAATGTGCAAAGGAATAATCAGAAAATAAACAGTATGTTCCAGGAACCATATAAGGTTTTTTTTTCTCAAATGACCAAATTTGATAAGCATATAGTTATGTATGTATCATCTTCCAAACAGTGCATAATCCTTCTTTCATACTTTAATACATACCTGATGCTCTCAAAATTCATTTCATATATAACATCAACATTCAAACTTCAAGTGTATTTCTATATACCACTCTATTAGATGTCTAGGGCTGCCATAATAAAGTACCACAGGCTAGATGGCTTAAACAAGAAACATATTTTCTCAAAATTCAGGAGGCTAGAAGTGTGTAATCAAGTGTAATCAAGGTACGATTAACAGTGTTGTTTCCTTCTAAATCCTCAATGATTGGTTTGTAGATGGTTGCCTTCCTTCAGTGGTTTTACGTGGACTTTCTTCTCTGTGTTTGTCCTTATGTTCATATAAGACATCCTCTATATGTCCTCATTTTATATTATTGTTTTCCTTAATGGCCCTGTCTCCAAATGTAGACCTATTCTGAGGAACTGGGTGTTAGAACACAAACAAATGAATTTGGAGTAATGAGCCATGATTCAGCTCATAAGCACTATTTAATATTTCAAAATAATATATACATTTTGCCAAAAAATACCAATAGCAGAGTATGCATTCTCAACATATATGCTTTCTATTATCCCAACATTAAGAAAACAAAGTGAAATACGATGTCCAAATGAACATTCTAATAAATCTAAAGAAGATAATGAAAAACATCTTATTAGAAAAATTAAGATCTTATGACAAACTTTCTTACACTCAACTAGAAATCCTTTCCACTGTATTTAATTGTAAGTGCATAAATTCCTATTCTATAAAATTATTTTAGAAAGCTTTTATGTAATTTGTGCTATGTTGCTTAATTTGATGATCTTTTCCATGAAGTCAGCTATATTCCACTTTGACTATTGAGATAAGTAGGCTGTCCAAAGTTCAGACTCAGTCACCATCAATTGATTGAGAAATTGAAGCATGAAACACACTTAGGATTAATTTGGCTTATGAGCTTGCTGAATTTATCTTAAGCCCAGCGTAAATTAAAGGAAGAGTTGGTCATGAAAACTGGAAAACTGTGAATAGCTTCTGTTTTTTTATGTTTTGTTTTATTTTGTTTTTCTGCTGAATCTGTGTTTCTTTGACTCTGGAAAGTCTGGAAAAGTACTTATCCGGCCCATAAATTTTAGTCACTCAATTTAAAAGTTATTCTAGAAAAACTCCAGCTTGATGGACATGAGATAACCATGTTAATACTTCCACCAAGCCTTCTGCTTGATTATACCAAGATTCTATTTAATGTGAAGGTTCTCCTACTTTCAGTAACTAAGAAACCCTCACAGAAGATATCTATACTTTTCTCCTAACAGCTTCTTTAGAACTGCAGTCTTTCATGGTGTGGCAGGCAAATAAAACTGTCAGAAATAGAATATAAAAATAAAACTGCATATCTGAAAGTGTGTATGACAGTGCTATAATAAATAAAACTCCTCCTGCTGAGGAGTTACTCAGCAGGCTGTAGGCAGCCAAGTTTTTTTTGTTTTGCTAACCCTTTATGTTACAATGGAGAGTTGATGGCTGGGCTTCTCAACGTTTCATTTGTATATTCGTTTCTGGTTTCTCATGGGAATACCGATGTCTCACCTCTTCTTTGTATATTCCTGGAAGCACATCAGTATTAATGAAAAACATGCCTTAAATACAGAGGCTGAATGTTTTGGTTTGTATTTTTTGTTTGTTTGTTTGTTTTTGGTTTTGAGAGGGTATTGGTCTATGTACTTTGTGATCTGCTAGTATTATATGTTATATTTCCAGAATGGTATGAATAGTATAGGTCATAGTAAAGGTGTATTATCCTAATTTTTAATACTTAACATTTAAATTGTGATTAAATCTTTAACACTGTTGAAATGATACTGTAGTATAGTAATAGTTTAAAAAAGATACTGATTTAGTGAGCCTGAGGTTTCATACTCATTTTGGTAAGTATGGAAATGCTGACAATTTTTTTTTGTAGCCTATGTAGTAAACTATTGCTACCATAACATTTTAGAAAAGGAATATTTATTATATTTTCACCTAAGCCCTTTCTGATGTATCTTACTCTTTGTAGTATCTCTGTGCCTTTTATATCAGATGTGATTTTATTGCATTTAATCTCATTTGCACACGGTTTACATTTCTTAATGGTTTGACTTGGTTTCTAGAGTCAGCATTAAGTTTAGGTTCATGATGCAGTAATGTAGTCCTAAAAATAAATATTGATTTTATTCTTCTTTTGACAAATGACAGAAAAGCGGAGAGATAGTTCTATAAAGAATCATAATTTTAGGCTTTGGACTTACATACAAAAGGAAGAAATGGGAAATATATTCCCCTTTAATTTCTTATCAATGGTGTTTTCAAATTCAGCTTATATCTGTTTATAATAAAAATTATCTGATATTTTTATGTGTTATATCATTTCAGCTGTTCTTGCTCCCTTACTTTCCCACAATATAAACTGATGCAAAGGACTAAACTGCAAAAACATTTGCAAAATAAATTTTATGCTTATCTGGTGTGCATAGTTCAGAGTTATGTCCTTTTGTTATTCCTGTGATTCTTGTTTTGAATGCCTAAATTCTAACTTAAAAATTAAATATTTCTCTCTACCCCATGTCATTGAGCATTAATACTATTTTGATTTATTTAATCATGATTCCTCTGTGTCAGCTCACAGAAATGATGCACATTTAAAATTCTAATGAAATCAGTACCATCACTAAGAAATATTGCTGATATATGTTTGAGAATTTAGAATACCATAATTCTATATTTAAATCATAACCTAACCAAGGGTATTATAATATTATTCTTCAATTCCAAGCTTTTATGTGTCTAGTAGGCATAATTATTACAGTTTTACTTATGTATTATCATTGTAAGTTCCTTTTACAAGAAAAAAAATGGAGACTCAATAATAAAATCAGTGACATTACATTTAGGTAGTAGTATATTTTTAAGTTTATTTAAGGAGCATTTTTAATAAATATTGTGGGTGCTCTCAAATTTAAACCTATATCATAGGTATAAAAGTAACAATATTTTACTATATTGTAAAGCCTAACATATATATTTAGACTAGAATGAACCTGTTACATTAAATTTAGAATATGAATGACCTAAACCATGTCATAAGTGCCCTATCTATTTTAATATACACTTTATGAGCTCCATTCATGCCAGGTCGTGAGCTAGCCCCTCATGATACAAAGATAAGAAAGGCTTCACTATAATAAGTTCTCTCTCTCTCTTTCTTTCTTTCTCTCTCTGTGTCTCTGTTTCTCCCATCTCTGCCTGCCTGTCCTCACACCCCTTCACCATACTATCATGTGGTATCCTAAAATGAAACAATTCAGACAGTATTGTTCAAAACATACATGCATTTATTAGAAAGAAGACACAGAAAATGTACAAATTTAAAGTTTTGGGAGTTGTTTCTGGGATGTAATATTAATTAGGAAATGACAAACACTGGATAACTGCTGCTAGAACATCAATTAAAGAAAACATATACCCACATAGACATATACACTAACTTACTCACAATGTCTCTCTCTCTATATATATATATATGTATGTATTTTAAAGTAAGTATAGAAATATAACTAAGATTTATTACCATTATTTTAATAATAATCAAAACACATTAGAACAATCTGAAAATCTCAATTTTCCTAATTAGTTTCACATTGCTAATTATTTCAAGATCCTAAATATTTTTTATTCATTAAAATAACGATAAATTTGTGATTTTTCTCCATATCTGATTTTACAAAAATTCAAAAACTATTCATGAGCATTTTAATTTGATATCGATATAATTATTTTCATAAGTTCAGTTAGAATCATTTCTGTGTACACGGAAGCAATGGACATGTTAATTCAGTTGCCAAGGTTTGACAAAAAATACCATTTGCGACAACATGGATGAACCTAGAGGTTATTATGCTAAGTGAATTAAGCAAGTTCAAGAAGAACAAATATTTTATGATTCCACTTATATTAGTTAAATAAAATAGGCAAATTAATTGAAGCAGATAATAAAATAGTGTTTTCCAGGGGTTTGGGAGAGAGAGAAATGGGGAGCTGTTGTTCAGTGGGTATAAAGTTTCACTTATGCTTATGAATAAGCATAGAGATTTCCTCTGCAATATAATGCCTAGTTAACAACATGGTATTGTACACTTAATAATGTGTTAAGAGGGTCAATCTCATGTTAAGCATTATTACCATCAAAAACAAAGAGTGACAAAGAAAGTTTTGTAGGTGATGGATATGTTAATTACCTTCACTGTTATAATGATAGCATCATGGGTGCTTGTACATGTCCAAACTCATCAATTTATATATATATAAATAATATAAATATATATGTATAAAATACTTACAGGTGTTTTTTGTATATCAATTGTACTTCAGTAAAGCTATTAAAATTATATGCATCTATTTTTGAAATTTACATAATGCATTACTTTTATTGATGTACAAATTATTTCTTTACAGGAAATCAAATAATTCATTGAAATGTTGGGAAAATGGTATTGTGGTTTTTATTTAAATTGATGATCACAAATTTCACAGAGAAAAACACAAATATATCAAAATAATCTTTCCTAGATCCGACAGAAATTTATTTAAATTTTAAACTCTATATCTGATTCTTAAAATTACTTCCCACAAAAGGAGATAAAATTTCAAAATTCAGGTTTCCTTTAATACTGCAAATCTTGACTCGTACTGTTTTCAAACCATTATATCAATATAAACAACAGATGACATTTTTAAATTATGGACAGAAACCCAGCTTCTGTCTATAAAATAAAAAAAAAAGTGAATGCCTTACTTTATCCATCAACCAAGTTCTATGATAATGGATTTTCTAAATAAAGTGAGAAATAGCTAGATATATAATGATAATTCCTATCTCTGTTACAAGGCCTTCTTTTTCCAAGCTAAGGGCATTTCCTCCATTGCTCCCCAGATAAACTTTCCCCTTCCTTGGGGCCTCTCAAGTACAATCTGTGGTGCATGGGGACAGCTCTTAGAGCCACTGAGTTGCTATTTGAACTATTCAATAGTTGGAATTGGAAGGAAGAAAATATAGTCAGTTGGGACACAGGATACTGGCACCGCCGTAAGAGAGGGGCTTACTCCTTTGATGGCAAGTAGGGACAGAAGGCTAGAGTACAGCAGCGGTTCTCTCAGCCCTGGCCTAGAGGACATCTACCACCCCCTTTAAGCTTACTAAGCCTCCTGTTGCTAATTCAGAGATTTCTCCTTGAAGGACAGTTTTATGGCCAGGCCCACATAAATTGAGCCTTAGCATGCAGGCATCAGTGGTGCCCCAGACCCAGGCCTTGCCGCCATGGAACAGGTAGGATGCATTGGCAGAAGAATGACAATAAATCCAACAGTCTTTGTGCCCCATTTAGTGGTCAATGGGCGCACAGCAGGGGCAAGGGAAGTTTCCATCCCACGTGTAAGCATGGTTAAATCCGGTAGATGGAGGGCTCGGGAAAAGCGGCCATGAGCTTTGAGCACAATTGGGCCTGACCCTTGGGGGACGGCCTAAGGGAAGATGAGTCCCAGGACTAACCAGGATTGCGGACATCCCGGTGTGTAAAATTCCAGATGGGCACCACACCTTCCAAACCAGACACTCCCTTAAAATGTATCCTGAATAACTGGGACAAATTCGACCCTGAAACCTTAAAAAAGAAGTGGCTGATTGTCTTCTGTGCCACTGCCTGGCCACAGTATTCCTTACAAAATGGAGAAACTTGGCCCCCTGAGGGAAGTATTAATTATAACACCCTTCTACAATTAGATGTTTTCTGTAAACAGGAAGGTAAATGGAGTGAATTCCCTTAGGTACAGAGTTTCTTTGCCCTTCATCACAATATTGCCGTGTGCCAAGCCTGCAAGCTTTTCCCAAATGACAGAGGCCCACAATTGCCTCCATACTCAGGGCCTCTTCCCTCAGCCCCACTCTTCTCCCACACTGACTCTCCTCCATCCGGCCCCACTGAGGTGTTAAAGGCACACCAGCAAGAGAAGATAAATTCCATGAGTCAGGCACTGAAACTATGTCCCTTATAAGCAGTAGGAGGAAAATTTGGGCCCATTCACGTGCATGCCCCCTTCTCACTCTCAGACTTAAAACAAAAAAAAGGCAGATATAGGGAGATTCTCAGATGTCCTGATAACTATATAGATGTCCTTCAAGGATTGATGCAGTCCTTTGATCTAACATGGACAGATACCATGTTGCTTCTTGATCAGACCTTAAGTCCTACTGAAAAAGAAGCGGCTTTAGCAGTAGCCTGGCAATTTGGGGATCTGTGGTACCTTAGCCATGTAAATGATTGAATGACCCTGGAGGAGAGGGAAAAATTCTCCACAGGGCAACAGGCAGTCCCCAGTGTATACCCTCATTGGGATACTGACTCAGATCATTGAGATTGGAGCTGCAGGCATTTGCAAACTTGCATTTCAGAAGGCTTGAGGAAGACTAGGAAAAAGGCTACGAACTACTCAATGCTATCCACAATTACACAGGGAAAGGAGGAAAACACCTCGGCTTTTCTAGAAAGACTAAGGAAGGCCCTAAGAAAGCACACATCCTTAAGTCCAGATTCCGTAGAAGGCCAGCTTATTTTAAAGGATAAATTTATCACCCAATCAGCTGCTGACATTAGGAGAAAACTGCAAAAGTCTACTTTAGGCCCAGAACAAATTTAGAGACATTATTAAACCTGGCAACCTCGGTGCTCTATAACAGGGACCGAGAGGAAGAGGCCGAAAGTGAAAAGCGAGATAAGAGAAAGGCTGCAGCCTTAGTCATGGACTTCAGACAGGCAGACTTTGGTGGCTCAGAGGGAACCAAGAGAGGAGCAGACCAATTGCCTAGCAGGGCTTGTTATCAGTGTGGTTTGCAAGGACACTTTAAGAAAGATTGTCCAACAAAAAACAAACTGCCCCCTCACCCCTGTCCAATATGCCAAGGAAATCACTGGAAGGTGCACTGCCCCAAAGGATGAAGGTCCTCTGGACCAGAAGCACCCAACCAGATTATTCAGCAACAGGACTGAGGGTGCCTGGGGCAAGTGCCAGCTCATGCCATCACCCTCACAGAGCCCCGGGTAAGTTTAACCATTGAGGGCCAGGAAGTGGACTTCCTCCTGGGCACTGGCGCGGCCTTCTCAATTTTAATCCCCTGACCCAGATGACTGTTCTCAAAGTCCGTTACTATCTGAGGAATCTTAGGACAGCCTGTAACCAGGTATTTCTCTCGCCTCCTCAGCTGCAATTGAGAGACTTTGCTCTTTCACATGCCTTTTCTGTTATGTCTGAAAGTCCCACACCTTTATTAGGGAGAGACATATTTGCCAAAGCTGGGGCCATTATCTACATGAATATGGGGAACAAGTGACCCATTTGTTGTCCCCTACTTGAAGAAGAAATCAACTTTGAGCTCTGGGCCTTAGAAGGACAATTTGGAAGGGCAAAGAATATCCATCCAGTCCACATCAAGCTAAAAGACACCACCACTTTTCCTTATCAAAGGAAATATCACTTAAGGCCTGAAGTTCTCAAAGGATTACAGGATATTGTTAGAAATTTAAAAGCTCAAGGTTTAGTAAAAAAATGTAGCAGTCTTTGAAACACCCCAATCCTAGGAATACAAAAACCAAATAGTGGAGACTAGGGCAAGACCTCAGGTTTCACCTATCTACCTTCAGGAAATTTTTTTCATCTGTGATAACACAGCCTATCGATGCCAAAATGGCACTCCAAAAGAACTATGCTATGTCTCATTTCTAGCACCTCCCATGTCCATATATACTGAACAAGAGTTACAAAGTCTCCTTATACCCCAATCTCGCCACACCCGAGCCCTTATTGTCCCTTTTACAGTAGGAGCAGGAATACTAGGCAGGCTTGGGACTGGAATTGGAGGCATAACCTCCTCCACCCAATTCTATTATAAATTATCACGAGAATTAAATGATGACATGGAATGAGTTGCCGACTCCCTAGTGACCCTACAAAGCCAGCTTAATTGTCTAGCTGTGGTAGTCCTTCAAAATCAGAGAGCCCTAGACTTATTAACAACTGAAAGAGGAGGAACCTGCCTCTTCTTAGGAGAAGAATGTTGCTATTTCGTTAACCAGTCAGGAATCATTACTGAAAAGGTTAAAGAAATAAGAGAACAAATAGAAAGTAGACAAAAAGGAGCTTTAACACTCAGGGCCCTGGAATATGTTTAACAAATGTGTACCTTGGCTCCTCCCCTTTCTAAGCCCTGTGACAGTCATCCTACTATTACTCGCTTTCGGGCCTTGCATTTTTAACCTCCTTGTCAAATTTGTCTCCTCCAGGATCAAGGCCATCAAGCTGCAAATGGACTTACAAATGGAACCTCAAATGAACTCAACTCACGGCTTCTACTGAGAACCCCTGGATCCACCTGCTGGTCCCTCACTAGCCTAAAAAGTTCCCCTCTGGAGGACACCACAACTGCAGGGCCCCTTCTTCACCCCTAACCATCAGGAAGTAGCCAGAACGACTGCTGCCAGTTCCCAACAGCAATTGGTGTGTCCTGTCTAGAGGGGGGACTGAGGAGGTTCCAGCTGGGCTTCCTGGGTCGAGTAGGGGCTCAGAAAGCTGTGAAACTCACTCATTTCCTGTATCAGGACTTACTCTCATACTGGATGAATAATATTGAAGATATATGCTTAAAATATTCCTAACATCAGAATTTGTGCATGTGTTTTCTTCCCCCAAGAAAGCTATAAACAGCAAAACTTTTGCTGTAAGCTTCCCTGTGTCCTCACTCCCACTCTCCCTTCCCCCTCCCCTGAAACAAAAAGGAATGGTAAAAGCCAGTTTCTTTTTGTGACCAGCAGACCTTATCTATGCTCCCAGATCCAATTCCTTGTTAACACAATTTGTAAAATCCTGTGAGATTCTGTCTCCTTTGCCATGTGGCTGCAAGGTTATAAAGTAGATAAAACTTAAGTTAGAATTCCGGTTTTCCTTAAGACCTAAAACATGTTAATTGCCTTTGTTTCTCACTCTGGTAACATCTTCCCACCACATGTATTTCCCACCTTAAAGAGTTTAAAAGGTGACAAAAAAATCGAACACTGGCTACCCGCTAGGGACCACTTCCACGCTGTGGAAGCTTTGTACTGTCACTCTGCTCAATAAAGCCTAGGGCTTTTTTTTTTTCTCTTAGTCGGATACGCGTCTCTCTCTCACAGGGGGCTGCCGCCACACCAAATTTTTGGCATGGCTAAGGCAAGAACTTTCGGTGTTACACAAATATCAGTACCATTTGTTTATACCAACAACATCCAAGGTGAGAGCTAAATCAAGAATGTACTACTATTTACAACAGCCACAAATAAAATACCCAGAAATACAGCTAACCAGGGAGGTGAGAAATCTCTACCCTAAACATTACAAAATGCTGTTGAAAAAATTAGAAACAACAGCAACAAAAAGAAATATATTTCATGCTCAATTATAGAAAGAATTAATATTGTTAAAGTGATCATACTGCCCACAGTAATTTACTGGTTCAGTGCTATTTCTATCAAACTACCATGAACATTTTCAATGCAATTAGAAAAAAAACTCTAAAATTCCTATGAAACCAAAAATAGCCCAAAAGTCAAAACAGGTCTAAGAACAAAAACAAAGAGAGGCATCAAAATACACAACTTCACACTATAATACAAGGCTACAATAACTGAAACAGCATGGTAATGGTACAAAAACAGACACATAGACCCATGGAACCAGTTAAAGAAGCGGAAATAAAGCTTTACACCTACAGTCATCTGATTTAAGCAAAGTCAATAAGAACAAACATTGGGGAAACAACTCACTATTCAATAAATGGTACTAAATAACTGGCTAGCCATATGCAGAAGACTGAAACTAGATATCTTCTTTTTACCATATGCAAAAACCAACTGAAGATGGGTTAAAGATGTAACTGTTTAACTAATATGGTTTGGCTGTGTCCTCACCCAAATCTCATCTTGAATTGTAGCTCCCATAATTTCCACATGTTGTGGGAAGGATCCAGCAGGAGGTAATTTAATCATAGGGGTGGGTCTTTCCCATGTTGTTTTTGTGACAGTAAATAAGTCTCATGAGATATAATTGTTCTATAAAGGAGAGTTTCCCTACACAAGCTATTTTACCTGCTGCTGTGTAAGATGTGACTTTGCTCCTCATTCACCTTCTGCCATAATTGTGAGGTCTCCCTTGTTATGTGAAACTGTGAGCCCATTAAACCTCTTTCCTTTATAAATTAACTAGCCTTGGGTATGTCTTTATTAACAGCATAAGAATAGACTAATACAGTAAATTGGTACTAGGTAGTGGCATACTGCTGTAAAGATATCAGAAAATGTGGAAGCAACTTTGGAACTAGGTAACAGGCAGAGGTTGGAACAGTTTAGAGGACTCAGAAGAAAACAGAAAGATGTGTGAAAGTTTGAAACCTTCTAGAGACTTGTTGAATGCTTTGAACAAAATGCTGATAGTGATATCAACAATAAAGTCGAGGCAGAGGTGGTCTCAGATGGAGATAAGGAACTTGTTGGTAACTGGAGAAAAGGTGACTCTGCTCTGTTTTAGTGAAGACTGGTGGCATTTTCCTCCTGCCCTAGAGATTTGTGAAACTTTTAACATGAGAGAGCTGATTTAGAGCATCTGGTGGAAGAAATTTCTAAGCAGCAAAGCATTCAAGAGGTGGCTTGGGTACAGTCAAAAGCATTCCATTTTATGTATTTACAAAGATGTGGTTTGGAATTGGAACTTATGTTGAAAAGGGAAGCAGAGCATAAAAGTTTGGAAAATTCATAGCCTGACGATATGGTATAAAGGAAAAAAAAACATTTTCTGAGGAGAAATTCAAGCTGGCGGCAGAAACTTGCATAAGTAATTAGAAACCAACTGCCAAGAAAATGGGGAAAATGTCTCCAGGGCATGTCAGAGGTCTTCCTGGCTGAAGCCCTTCCCATTACAGACTGGGAGGCCTAGAAGGAAAAAATGGTTTTGTGGGCTAGGCCCAGCATCTTGCTGCTTTGTGCAGTCTCAGAACTCGGTCCCCTTTGTCTCAGCTGTGGCTAAAAGGAGCCAAGGTAGAGCTCAAGCCATGGCTTCAGTGGGGCAAGCCCCAAGCCTTGGAAGATTGTCAGCTTTGATGTGGTGTTGAGCCTGTGGGTACACAGAAGTTAATAATTGAGGCTTGGGAACCTCTGCCTAGATTTCAGAAGATGTAAGGAAATGGCTGGATGTTCAGGCAGAAGTTTGCTGCAGGGGCGAGACCCTCATGGAGAAACACTGCTAGCACAGTGTGAAAGGAAAATGTGTGTTGTGAGTGCCCCCAACACACCCACACACAGACTCCACCAGAGCACTACCTAGTGGAGCTGGGAGAAGTGGGCCACCATCCTCCAGACTGCAGTATGATACATCCAGAAACAGTTTAGACCATCCAACTGGAAAAGCCACAGACACTCAATGCCAGCCCATGAAAGCAGCCAACGGGAGGGCTGTACCCTGCAAAGCCACAGGGGTTGAGCTGCCCAAGACCATGGGAGCCCACCTCTTACATCAGTGTGACCTGTATTTGAGACAATGGAGTCAAAGAAGATCCTTTTGGCAATGACTGACCCATGGATTTTATTGCCTTACCTGGATTTCAGACTTGCGTGGGGCCTGTAGGCCCTTTTTTTGGCCAATTTCTGCCATTTAGAAGGAGTGTATTTAACCAAAGCCGTTTCTTCATTGTATCTAGAAAGTAACTAACTTGCTTTTGATTTTTAGGCTCATAGCTAAAAAGACTTGCCTTACTTCAGATGAGACTTTGGACTATGGACTTTTGACTTAATGCTGAAATTAGTTAAGTCTTTGGGGAACTGATGGGAGTGCATGATTGGTTTTAAAATGTGGGGATCTGATATTTGGAAGGTGCCAAGGGAAGAATGATATGATTTGGCTGTGTCCTCCCCCAAATTTCATCTTGAATTGTAGCTCTCATAATTCCCACATATTGTGGGAGGAACTTGGTGAGAGGTAATTGAATCATGGTAGTGCATCTTTCCCATGCTATTCCCGTAATAGTGAATAAGTCTCTTGAGATCTTATGGTTTTATAAAGGAGAGTTTCCCTACACAAGCTCTCTTGCCTGCCTCCATGTAATACATGACTTTACTTCTCACTTGCCTTTTGTCATGATTGTGAGGCTTCCCAAACCATGTTTTACTGTGAATCTATTAAACCTCTTTCCTTTATAAATTGCCCAGTCTCAGGTATGTCTTTTGTAAGAGCATGAGAAGAGGCTAGTACAGTATCCTAAAACTATAAAATCCTAGAATAAAATCAAGAGAATAGAACATAACTGAACTAAAAAGCCTTTGTCCAACAAAAGTAACTATCAACAGAATAAACAGATGACTTACAGAATGGGAGAATATAATTGTAAACTATGCACCTGAAAAAGGTCTAAAATCAAAAATCTATAAGGAACTTAAACAAATTAACAAAACATACACAAATAACTCCATTAAAAAATGGGCCAGGGACATTAAGAAAGAATTCTCAAAAGAATATATACACAGGAATGTGTTCAAGATGGTCAGCTAGATGCAGTCAGGAAGTGCCACTGCCACCAGGGGAACACCAGGATTTTAATCATACCAACAGAATTTGAACAGATCTTTGGAGAGAAAATGCTGAATATGGATGGAGAAAAGAAGTAGTCACTGAGGCCGAAGAGGAAGAAGGCTGAGGACGCTCAATGGGGTGCCTGAATACTACAGCTGGTTCTCTGCCCTGAACAGTTTCTAGGGAAGTGTGAGTGAAAGGACTAGTAGATAGCTCCCTCTCACTGTAGACATCTGGAATCCTGGCTAGATGGGGCTCCATACCTTCAAGGACATGTGGACTGGCAGAGGGGTCTCCCAGAGATTGCCCAGAGATGGAGCTGCAGACAAAAAGCCAGGGACATTTGTGCATAGGTCATTTCTGGTGGAGCCCAACCATAAGTGCCCACATACCACGCAAATCTACCTCTAATAGGCTCTGGCCTTAGCTAACCAATGGGGAGAGAGGAGAACCTACTTTCAAATGGAACTGTGACACATATTCTGCAGGAATACTGGCCCACCAGACCCCTCAACCCAAGGGCCCCTATCTGGCTGCTCCATAGGAGTTTGTACACAGTACAGCCTCTGTTTTCCAGTTTGAGTGCTTTGCTCCATCTGAATGCATTCTGGCACCCTGGAAGCCCTTCACATTTTACCCCACCCAAAATCCAACCCCAAGGGACCAGACGATGGAGCCACAAACAGGATCTTAGTTCCCCAGGGCTGCAACCTGCAGCTTTGGAGTGCCCAGCTGGTGGCTATGCTCAGCACTTGAACAAGGAAGGAGACTACACTCTCTGCAGTCTTGGATTGCTGGGGCACACAAATGCTTGGTCTTGTGTAGGTTCCTCCACAGGGTTGTTTCAGTGGGGGTGTGGCCTATTTTCCTACCAGACTTCTCCCCAAAGGAGCCCCAATAGACCTTTCTATATGCTCAAATATATTATCCAAATTTTTTCCTTTTCTCTACTTCTCTCTCAGGAAGGCCAATGAGTCAGAGATTTGGTCTTTTTAGATAATCGTATTTTCTCAGATGTTCTGTTCATTTTTCTTAATTTTTTAATTTATTTTTCTGTGACTGGTTGATTTGAAGAACCAGTCTTCCAGACGGAGCAGGTCACCTACGGAGTGAATCCCATCAAGCTAGCAGCAGACATCTCAGAAGGAAGTTTATAAGCCAGAAGAGACTTAGGGACTGTTTTCAGTGTCCTTAAAGAAAAGAAATTTCAACCAACAATTTTGTATCCTGCTGAACTAAACTTACTAAGGGAAAGAGAAAAAAGAAGGCTTCTCTGGCAAGCAAATGCCAACAGAAGATAGTTCTAGTGGATCAGCCACATAAGAAGTCCTTAAGGGCGTGCTACACATAGATTCAAAAGAATTACCCCTTCTACTACAAAAGCACACTTAAACACATAGTCCACAGGCACTATAAAGCAACCATGCAATCATGTCTGTATAACAACCAGCTAACCATACCATGACAAGATCAAAATCACAAATACCAATACTAACCTTGCAGCATATACAGGGACTCTCTTTGAATGTACACTGGCTAAATGTACCACTCAAAAGACATAGAGTATCTGATACGCCAGACACAAGAGTATGTTGTATACAATAGACCCATCTTACATGTAATTATATAATAGGCTTGAAATGAAAGGGTACAGTAATATCTATCCTGCAAACAAGAAATGAAAAAGAGAAGGAGTTACTATTATTATGTAAGACAGGCTTTAAGTGAATAAAAATTTAAAAAGAAAATAAATGATATGACCTAATAATAGAATATACAATCCAACAAGCAGTTTTTATTATCCTAAATATATACTCATCCAACATTGGTGCAAACACCTTTATAAAACAAGTATTTCTTGGCCTATGAAAAGATTTAGACAGTCATACAATAATAGTGGCAGGGGTTGACACCACACTGACAGCATTAGACAGATTATTGAGGCAAAAATGTAACAAAGAAACTCTGGACTTAAGCTTGACGCTTGACCAATTGGACCTAACACTCTGCAGAACACTCCACCCCACAACCATGAAATTTACATTCCACTCATTTTTACATGAAACATAGTCTAAGATCAACAACAACCTTTGTTATGAAGCAAGACTGAATACATTTACAATAATTGAAATCATTCCAAATGCAAATCACAGGGGAGGTATAAAATGTCCTGCAAGGAAAAGGACACTATGTCATCTTCAAACAATGGAAAAATGCTATCCCTTAACAGAAAGGAGTGGACCTCTTTTGCAGATTCGGAGTTCAGGGGAGTCTAGAAACTGAAGATTTTAACTGCAATGAATTATTTCTCAAATGTCTTATAATTTCACTCTATCTAAACTGAGACCCTGAATATGGTTAGTGATCAGACTAGGCTGGGAATTCAGCTAGAACTGAGCTGGGCTTATTTTTAAAATTCAGTCCTGGACTTAAGATTCAGATTCATTTGGTGGTGGGGACCGGGTGCTTCTACATGAAGTGAGAGTCTCTGTATATGCTGCAGTTAGGGAAGCAGGAGCTGAGGAGAGACAGAGTAATGTGATTTTAAGTTCAGCTCCCTATAAACACACACACCTGCAATGAAGAGTCCAGATGTCCCAATACCCAAAACGATACATGATTTCAAGATAATAACAGTTATGTTTTGATGTATTCACACAAGAAAGTGTCAAGGATAGTTTTCTTGGCATAAATAGAATAATCAGTTTTGTCCTGTTGTCTGACCACCCACAACTAGACACAGCTTAATTAACCTTTACAGAGATGAGACTCCTACATAAGAAAAACTTAAAACAAAGGTGTTGCATTCAACTCCTTGCCTTCTGAGGATGCCCTACTCTGTAATGTCATAGCTTTCAATGAATTGTCTTCTCATTGCACTCTGTGACTGACCTTGAATTCCTTACTGTGTGGAATCCAATAACCTTCTCTTGGTGTCTGAATCTAGACCCCTTTTTCTGGTAACACTTCCAAGGAGACTTCTGGCTTTCACCGTTTGCCTTAATTTGATGGTTATTGGTCCTCACTCTTCCATTATTTTCTCCCAAGCATTAATTCTGCAGAAAAAAACATTTGCCTCTATTGTGGTCATAATTTCTACTTTTCCCATATTGATAAATTTGTGATATATCCTAATAAGTAAAGCTTTCCCTTTCAAAATACTACCAGCATAATTTACCATTACTGAAAGTATGAAAAATTTAAATTATCACATTCCAGGGGCTATTTGTGTTCTCTGTACCAATAGTGATAGGATTCTCATTACAACTGGTAGTGTATGATCCAACTCTAAAATCTCATTTTGTTGTCTGTTCTTTTTTTCTGACCTCTCTTGGTACATATTATCAAATGTTGGGTGCTTCCAAGAAGTAGACTCTAAGCTGAATATTTTTTGAGGGAGATAATTAGGGAGATTTCTTGAAAATAACATCTGTGAAAAAGTAGGAAGCAAGATTGGACAGTGGAACAAAATAGTACATAATTCAGTGCAATAGTTTGAATGTCTGAGTGCCCCCAAAATTAATATGTTAAAATTCTTATAACCAAAATGATTGTATTAGCAGACAGAACCTTTTAGGAGGTGTTTATGTCATGAAGGCAGAGTCCTCTTTAATGGAATTAATTCTTTTGAAAAATATGCTCACAATAACTCATTCATCTATTTTCCCCATTAAGACATGGTGATGGGTTGCCATCTTGGAGGAATGCCCAATACCAGCATCTTGATGGTGAATCTTTCAGCCTCAAGAACTGTGACAAATAAATGTTTGTTGTCTGTAAGCTAGCCAATGTATGGTATTTTTCTATATAGCACCCTGAGCATGCTAAGACATGCAGTCTCAGCATAGGTTTCATCTCACCCACTGGAAATTCTGAAGCTAAGTTAGCCCTTCAGAGTTGGTCCAAGTTGAAATGAGGAGAATGGGCCTTTAGAGTCCTACATGTGACCAGGCATTGGATATTGGCTGTCTTGGAAAAGTCACTACATACTAGATAGCTTTCAGCAGAGATGTACTGAGAGAGAGAGCTTATAGGTGAGGTATGTCAGTTGTTCATCACTTCATCAGCTGGAAAGTAATTTCTATATTCCCAAAAGGGAAATCTGGGTGACACATAATGCCTGCACTCAAGGACATTGAAAATATTGAACAATATTGCCACTCTCCAGGCAATATTTGCTCAGAAACTGTGTTCAAATATCTTTTTAAGAAAGATTTACCTCATTTCAGATTAACAGATTATTAATAGAATAAAAACAAATATCTCTATTTTGTGACATGCATCTTTTCCTTCCTAATTCTACTTGATGTAAATTTCTATTTAGACTTTTTAAAAGTACAACTTGCCTGAATTACAAGGCAATCTGTGAAACAAGTTAAGTAGTAGGCATTTAGAAGATAAATATTTTCTAAGACTGAGAAATGTAAGCAATGTTGCAAATATTCAGAAAAGGATATTATTGTGATTTAGACAAAATATTTTCAAATGAAACAAAGTAACTGTAATTGTACTTAAAACATATCTGTTTGGATAAAAATAAAAGGAATTTCTACAGTCAGAAAAACAATGTCAAGGAACATGAAATGAAGCTAATATAATAAGTGTGAAACTACATAGAGAAAATGAAGATATTCTATTTGAGAATGTTTAGATAAATAAGAATAGATCACACCACTGCCTCATTGTTGACAGAATGATGCTTTCTTATACTAGAAACTCTTTATATACAATTAAATTATCTCTTGTTCTGGAGACAGCCACATTTACAATAAGCAAATAACAATAAATTTATTATTCACACATACAAACACAAAATCATTCATCCTTTTCTTTATTCTCTTGCTTTCCAAAAACTCTATTGTCAACACTTAAATCATTGTGACATTGATTGACATTGATATGTACCAAGTTAGAGAAAGTTAGAAAGAAAGATAGCATTTTAACAAGTTGTCTAAGAAATGGGCTTTTTTGTTTCTTATGCTGACAGTTGTATTCTAGCTCTGAGTCCTGTGAGAATGTGCTGGTGTGGCCAGTGAAATACAGTCTTTATATCAATTTAATAATGATACTTGATGAACTTGCTCAGAAACACCAAGAGGTAACTGTGCTTGTCACCTTCAGCTTCCATCCTCATTGATTCCAACAATTTGCTGTTAAATTTGAGGTTTATCCCACATCTTTTACTGAGAATGAACTTGATTTCATTTTTATGAAATTGATCAAGATATGGACATACAAGTTTCCAAAGAGTACATTTTGGCATATGATTCAAAGATACAAAAAACACATATTATGAATGTTCTGATACTGTTCAAAAGCTCTGTGAGTATGCTGTTTTGAACAAGAAACTTATAAGGAACAACAAGATTCCAGAATTTATGTCATTCTTGCAGATGTCATTTCTCATTAGTGAGCTGCTATCTGAACAGCTTAATCTGTTAAACATTTGTTATACATTTGGTCTACTATCATCCATTTACAACTGGCAGTATGTACCAAGAACTCTGTGGAGGACTTTCATTACCTCCTTCTGATGTAGCTGTTGTCATGTCAGAACTTAGTACCAAAATACATTTACAGAAAGATGAAAAATCTTTTGCATTTTCTTCATTTTAACTTTGCATTTGATAATTTTAACAAAAAGAAGTGTGATCAGTTTTACAGTGAAGTATTAGGTAAGTTAGTGGTTAATTTATTCCCTTTTCCCTCCAATATGTGGAAGGAAACTTTCCTTTCTTTGTGTCTGTTAGAGTGTGTTAATGAATTAAAATAGAAAATAACCTTTTTTGTTATTTGAAAGATGAGGTTTGGCAAGTTGGTGGAGACACTGAAACTCTCATACATTGTTGGTGAGAATAGAAAATTATTCACCCACTGTGAAAAAGTCTAGCAATTCCTCAAAAGTTTACACATATATTTACCACATAATTCAATAATTGCCTTTCTAGGCATATACCCAAGAAAAATAAAAACATGTCTACAGAAAGCATGTACATCAATGTTAATCAACGCTATTCATAATGGCCAAAAGTGGAAGAAAAACAATGTCCGTACACTGATAAATGAATGAATAAATAAATTGTGTTTATAAGTAGCATCTGATACTATTTGGCAATAAAAATGTGAACGCTATTTATAATGGCCAAAAGTGGAAGAAAATCAATGTCCATCCACTGAAAAATGAATAAATAATTTCTGCTTATAAGTAGCATCTGATAAAAAGCAATAAAAATGAAATCCTTATATACACTATTCTATGGATGGTCCTTTAAAAACATTAAACTAAATAAAAGTAGCCAGCCACAAAAGACCACATATTATATAGTTTCATTTATTTTTAAAAAGATCCTGAATAGGCATATTTGTAGAGGCAGAAATTAGATTACTGGTTGCCCAGTACAGTGTGGGTGCAGAAATTCAGGTGGGGAGATGACAGTTAATATACAGGATTTTTTTTTTTTTTAGATAAAACTGATTGCTATGTTGGATGCACAAGTCTGTGAATTTACTAGGAAATATTTAATTTTAAATAATCATTCATGAATCATATGGTATGTGAATTATACTTCAACAAAGTTTTACAAAATATTCCTTGAACCAAGATATTCAAAAATTCTATTTGCATTGTATAATTACTTCATCTCTCATTCTGTGTCAAGGGGCCTGCAGGACTCTCTCACTTGCCACTGTTCTTGACACTATTATAAAATACATTATATAAAACACGATATTTGCAAGGTCATTAAACTTAGGTGGATGACACCAAATATAAACATAAAAGAAACATCAAACATCCTTGAGTAAATATGAAGTAATCGAACTTTGTCTCCTTGCCATCCATGTACTCAGGATGCTCATATAATGTATTTACTTTGAATTGAAGGAGTTATGTTTTAACTTGATTGATTTATCTCTGTATATAAGTATGAGAAAGAAACAGTGACTGGAAAAGAATTATCACATTGCACAAGGATGGCTCTGAAATGGACTACAGTTCTGCTGATACAACTCAGTTTTTACTTTAGCTCTGGGAGTTGTGGAAAGGTGCTGGTATGGGCCGCAGAATACAGCCTTTGGATGAATATGAAGACAATCCTGAAAGAACTTGTTCAGAGAGGTCATGAGGTGACTGTACTGGCATCTTCAGCTTCCATTCTTTTTGATCCCAACGACTCATCCACTCTTAAACTTGAAGTTTATCCTACATCTTTAACTAAAACTGAATTTGAGAATATCATCATGCAATTGGTTAAGAGATTGTCAGAAATTCAAAAAGATACATTTTGGTTACCTTTTTCACAAGAACAAGAAATCCTGTGGGCAATTAATGACATAATTAGAAACTTCTGTAAAGATGTAGTTTCAAATAAGAAACTTATGAAAAAACTACAAGAGTCAAGATTTGACATCGTTTTTGCAGATGCTTATTTACCCTGTGGTGAGCTGCTGGCTGAGCTATTTAACATACCCTTTGTGTACAGTCACAGCTTCAGTCCTGGCTACTCATTTGAAAGGCACAGTGGAGGATTTATTTTCCCTCCTTCCTACGTACCTGTTGTTATGTCAAAATTAAGTGATCAAATGACTTTCATGGAGAGGGTAAAAAATATGCTCTATGTGCTTTATTTTGACTTTTGGTTCCAAATATTTAATATGAAGAAGTGGGATCAGTTTTACAGTGAAGTTTTAGGTAAGATTTTTTTCAATTAGTAACATGAAGCTCTAACTTATTTGTGTCTTTGAAGCACAACTTGCATAAAGCCATAAAGTCAGGGAAGTGGAGTTTTTGGTAAATGAATTTATGAAATGAAAATACAAGATGATCTACCAATCTCACAAATATTATAGAAAAGCTTAAATTATAGGGTCAGTGAAAACGCTGTGACCATCACTCATACAGAACACCCCAGGAAATCATAAACCTATATATTAGTACACCTAAGACTTTAAGCAATTATATATCTGTTTTACTATAGAATGTTTCAGATCTTAAAAACAGCAAGATCCGTCAAGTAACATCTAACCGAATGCATAGATTTAGAATGAGTAATTACACATTTTTCTACAACTATCTATATAACTGCAGAAATTTTTCCTTCTAAATCTCAGTTGTCTTATTTAGAAATTAAAAGATGTTCCCATGTTACCAGGAGGTTGTCTTCACAGTAGAGAGAGATAATGTCTATATCTCAGATGCAAAAATCAATAAGGGTAATTTGAAGTTTCAAATGTTTCTATACTCCTTCACTAAATAATTGGAAATCTTTTATTTAAAGTCCAATCATCTTGTTGAAGTGTGAAGGTTGTTATATCTATATAGTTTATTTGAAACTATGTCTCTTTATTTAAAAATACGAGACTGATTATGGTCGAGTACAGATCTCTATTTCAATAATTTCTCAAAAATTTCTAGCTATAATTTACAAATATTTTTACTTAATATTATTAAGATCTTAGCTTGGATCCAAATGAGTAGTTGGTACAATGATTTCAGCCATACTCACAAAATAGTCCACAGTTAACTTGAAGAACCAAAGATAAAAGGATTAGCTTAATGAGTTGTGTAAACTAGACTATTTGTTAGAAAATTGTTTCTATGGTTACTGTAGAATTAATTGATTATGGAGCTCAAAGATTTGTTTAAATATCTAGAGGCTACTATTGAAGCTTTAAAGAGAAAATAAATTGATGTTTAATTCTCTATGACTTATTTTAATAATTGTGAGTATACTGACATGACATTAGAGATGTAGCTTAACCTCATAATTCTCCCACTACTTTGCCTTTCTTATAAATAAACAAGGGCAAAATATAGAATACATAAAAAATAAATTATTCCTATATATGAATATATGTACATATTTTTCAAAGCACACAAACTTTACCAACATTTTTGCCTGCATTATTCTAACCCCTTTCAGAAAATTACATAAAGTAATTATCTTATGTCATCCACTTCTTCTTTTCTTTATTCCTATCAGGAAGACCCACTACATTATCTGAGACAATGAGGAAAGCTGACATATGGCTTATGCGAAACTCCTGGAATTTTAAATTTCCTCATCCATTCTTACCAAATGTTGATTTTGTTGGAGGACTCCACTGCAAACCTGCCAAACCCCTACCTAAGGTAAACATACTTTCGTTGGTTTTATTTTGTTGGCTTCAAATTTCAGTAGAAATGACTGTATAGTCTTCATTCAGAGTGTTTGACTAACACTGAAAAAGATGGGAAGTAGGTGGGGTAAAGCAGATACCAATTAGAAACTCATGTACATGTTAATACCATCACACGTATGTGAGTTTTATGCATGTTACAAATAGAGAGGAATACTAAAGAAACTTTGAAAATAGGGTTGGTTAAATTAAAGTCTTGATTATGCAACACCTAAGAAGGTATTGGTCATTCATTCAAAGAATATTTACAAAGAGATTATCACAAAACACAGGTAAGTGCACAATTTTCAGAGAAAAAAAATAGACACAGTTTCTGTCCCTACATACCTTACATTCTACTTTGAAATATAGAATATAAGTAAGTAATGAATATTATATAAAAACTATTATCTCAAGAAAAAAACCCAATGCTAAGAAAGCATCAGTGGAGATAATAGAAAGTATCCTGGAGTCACTGATGAGTACGATGAGAGCTGAACAATATGCAGGAATAGGGAAAAGAATGGTGGGGAGAGACAGACAAAAAGGGAAAGCAGATAAAGTGGTCAGGACAGTTCTCAAGTCCTCAGGTTTAGTTTGCAGGGAATGATTAAGAATCAGATGACCCTAAAAGGTAAATTAGAGCCAGATACGTATTAGGAGTTGAAATATTTATTAAGAACATTGAAAACATCCTAAAAAGAGTTCAGAAATAAGGATATATGAAATGATTCTTTTTATAAGAAAAGCCTCCAAGATATTCAATGGATTAAATTGCAGAAGGGCCAGACTGTAAAGACCGAAACATTCAGGAAATTTTCCATGGATTCAGGTAGCAGATGATGAAAAAGTGGACTACACTGTTGATAGAAATAATTATGCCTACATTTACAAAAATAGTGCCAACTTCATATTGTGTTGTGTGGAAAAAAATATTAACACAGACAAAACACTTAAAATGTCTCTGGCATATAGTCAGTGACTCAGAAATGTTATTAATTTTGCAATTATGGTTATTTTATTACTAATACTACTAACTACTTAACATGTGCATGTCACTTGAGATATCATTCCTCATTTAAGAGAACCAGATTATTCAGCACATCAAGGTTATATTGTCTTGGAATGTCATAGATGACAGATACCCTTGGACTTGATTAAAAGTAGACATATCAGTTGTGACAGCAAGATAAGCTAGTTGAAATTTTAAAATTCTTCCATAAGTAATAAGGATCTTCACCAGTATTCCAGCTTAAAACACTTCCTCAACAATATAAATGTGTGCCTCAAATATGTGCAGACAAACACAGGGTTCACATGATTTTAATAAAGCATTTAAATCATTCTGCATTGAGATCCCAGAATTTTACATTTTAGAGCATAAACATATCCTATTAGAGCAGATGATTTCTGCCTTATGACAGGCCACTCAATAAAGCTTCCTGGGGGAACTCGTCTTGACATCATAGGTGTCTGACAGAGAAGCACAGAGATAATGAACAATGCATGTATAATAAAGACCAAATAATTTCTGCCACTTGTTTCTGAATAGTGCCCTTAATTTCAATACGAAAAAAAATTCCGTCAGCATATAAGATTATATTCTTTTCGAAGGAATACAAGAACTTCATATATTTTAATTAACATCACATTTTAAGGCATATGTAAAAAGTAAGGCTTCTTCAATGGATTATTATGCAATCTCTTAAAAGATCATTTTTGCTTGCATAAAACTGAGAATTTGTTCCATTGTTAAAACTCAGTATCTATGTTTAATGCAAGTTGTATAGGCTTTATAGAGTCAGTTTCTTAAGAGACAAAAGTTGAGGTAAGACTAATGAAAAATATATGCCACTCTACCCTACTCTTGAAAGATTTCCCCACTCACACTAAGGGAAACTGACAGTGCCAGTAGAAGGAGGAAGAGAGTAGGACAATGTAGAAGGACAAGAAAAAAAGGTTGACTGGTAGTACAATAGTGGTAATAACTAATACTAGCTCTTGTTATTAACTTGCAGAAAGCATTGAATGAAAGTCAATGGTTGTGAAACCAGTTCTTTAATTGTTTATTATGTAAAATATTTGCTAAGCCAGGTTGCTTTCTTTTCAATTATATATTAGATTCTCAGATAATTTCTATATATTTTAAGAGAATAAGACACTTGACAAAATGTATCAGGTGTTTTAAAAATACATATTGTTATTAGTTTTATAATATAGTCATGTGAAATCATAAAAAAATTAATCAAGGTGTACCTTTTAAACATTATGGAAAATATTCACAAAATTAACATTGGAAGTAATCCAACATGTTACATGAAATAATGATTAGAAACATATGCCTACAATAGCACTAAAATGATTTTATCAATGAAATGTTCAATTATGCTGTCAGCCATAATACACATACAGTGAATAAGAAAATTATAAATATAACACGATGGCAAATTTTTGCAGGAGGAAATGTATATAAAATGAGATTAAAATTTTCTAAATAAGTGTCGTGTATGTACATTGACCTATATAAGTAGGGCAAAATCCATAATAAAAAATACATAATTTCTATAAATAATATCTCTAGATAGAAATTTTAGAAAAAATTATTTTTAAAAAACTTTTCTTACTGTTATAAAATTTCTTACATTAACTTTGTAGTATTTTTATAACATTATCACAAAAGGAGAAACAACCAGTCAATATCAGTGATGAATCTCTACACAGAGGTTAGATTCCTTCAACACTGCATAGAAAAACAAGGCTCTGGCATCAAGCCAGTAAGATGAAACACTGAACACGAGTTACATTAAATGTGGCTACAGGTAACTGCAATCACACACAATACCTAGATGCCCCAAGTATTATGTGGAATAGTAGTACAGGGACTCTCACGTTAACTTAAGATTACAAATCACATTTTAAAAAACGTTCTGCCATATGTGGTGCACAGTTTACACTTAGACACATTTTTTCTATGTTTTGTTAAAAACCACTGGGGAAAGTTTTACCCCAATGATTAAATCTGAAAGTATTTAAATTTATATATTGGCATACATTGGGGAACTCAAGTCAGAATAATTCTCAATCAATTGCAGCCAAGCACATCTTCACCAGGAGTGTAATGTGGTGTGCGTGAGCTACTCAAAAGAGAGACAAGATCCCCCTGAAGAAAGGCCTGGTGGCCTCTCCTATTCTGGTGCAAGTGCTGCCTCTGAGACACAACAAAGTGATGATGAGAGTTCCTCACATGCAGTTAGAAATAGCACATCAATTTAACAGTGTGATTTCAGGGCAATACGTGCTCCACCTAAACAATAACCTGAAAGGTACAATTATTCAACTACTAACTATAAACTGTACAATTCTGTATTATAAATGAGACTCTAAGGACTGATTCATAAATATTCCAAATCACAATACTAGACTCCAGAATGTCAGTGATTCTTAACCCCCAGCTTTTATTTTTTATTTTATTTTTTGAAAAACTACTGGAAAACTCTGACAAATTTTAAGTGAAGCAAAAAGCATTGTAGAGTAACGTAAATGTAGATATAAAATTATCCCAACTGTGAGTAGCTTTTCCTCAGTACTCATAGTTAGGGAAGTAAACCACTAATGGCTTCAAACTAAAAGAATTCTACAGAAAACCTGCCTGAAATAAACACAAGTGATTTAGTAGAACAAAAATATAGATTAAACCCTAGTGGTGCCACTTTTCCAAGGACTTATAGTAGCAATTATAGTATTATAAGTGAAGAGTCTGGGTATATGTTTTAACATTATCTCCCTGACTACAATGTAATAGCTCCTTTTCTTTTCTCCATTACACACATACAGACACATACCTACATACACACACATATTTACACAAATATCCTTAACAGAGGCCAACTATCTCATACATCTTCTTGCAAAGAAACAGTGATTGAGTCAGTTAAAAAATATTATTTACTCCAATAATTCCTCAAAATACTTGATTTTCTCTCTTTAATATTTTGTACCAATTCTTTCGGTAGTGCCTGCTGTGGTGATACTCTTTTATGATGAAACATTTTTTCTTTTTCCCACCGGAAATGGAGGAGTTTGTACAGAGCTCTGGAGAAAATGGTGTTGTGGTGTTTTCTCTGGGGTCAATGGTCAGTAACATGACAGAAGAAAGGGCCAACGTAATTGCAACAGCCCTTGCCAAGATCCCACAAAAGGTAAGATAAAGTGCCTTACTGGTGTGGAAAACTACTGAAAGAGGCTGTTAAAGTTTGTGATCTACATAGAAAGAATATTAAAGAGTAGACTGAACTATTTATAGCTGAATACAACCTTAAATATGCTTGTATAGCATCCACTGACAGAAGTAATAGTTGTGCCTCAGACTTAGTGATTACATGTGGCCCTGGGGTAGTTACTACCCTTGGTATGCATGAGTGATTCCTATTAGCATCAGTGGGAACTCAGTACTCCATATGTATCCACAAAAGGGAACTTGAGACCCACAATTACTTTTAATTTCTGATGTTAACAGTCATACCTACTGCTGAATTTAACTCAATATATTTCAGTTAAGTGAAAATGGTGCTTAATGTAGTCTTTAGAATGACTTTCAGGTGTTTTCAACTAAAAATATATATCCAGAACTGTGTTCTTGTAGAAATACAAGTAAGATTTATGATAATTTTCTTCAAAAGAGTTTTCCTAATCTCAGCAGTATCCAATGGGTGAAGAACACTTGACTAACTCTTGGGCCACCTCTATTACTTATTGTACTCTGGAAGCCCTTGGTGAATGTTTACAATTAAGGAATGTAGTATTTCTGTTTGTACTTTAAGTCAAATGCTTATATGAAATATGTGGCAACAAATAGAGAAGACTGGCTCTGGTGGTCATTATGCAGTATATACTCTATTTAAGGATCAGTGGTAGTATAGCATGATTGAATGTCATTAATATAGGAATAATAACTGGCATATGTGGAGAGTAGGGGAGTAAAAAGAATGAATTCCAGTCCTGTGATTAAAAGTGTAAACTATAGGATGGGCATGGTGGTTCGCGCCTGTAATCCCAGCACTTTGGGAGGCCAAGGCGGGCAGATCACGAGGTCAGGAGATCGAGATCACCCTGAACGATATGGTGAAACCCTGTCTCTACTAAAGATACAAAAAATTAGGCAGGAGTGGTGGTGTGTGCCTGTAACCCCAGCTATTCAGGACACTGAGGCAGGAGAATCCCTTGAACCAAGGAGGCGGAGGTTGCAATGAGGCAAGATCACAACATTGCACTCCAGCCTGGGCTACAGGGCCACACTCTGTCTCAAAAAAAGTAAACTAGTAAACTAGAGACTCTACTGTAGTATATTTCAGGACCTAGAAGTTTTACTTTTATAAACATGGTGCCTGGAAGATGTCACTAATGTATTTTACTTCAGCATAGGGAACAAACTTTTTAAGTATATTAATAAATATTCCTGTATGGTAAGTTTTTAAAATTTTTTAAAATAAACTTTATGAATATGACAAATAAAAAAGAAAGTTCGGGCCTAAAAATTAGAGCTTTTGGGAAAGCACTAATTATCTCAGATATTAGTTCAAAATCAAAAATATACATGGATGATGCTATAATAATAGGCTGTTTTTCATTGATAATAAGTTTGGCATTAATAATATGACCAGGAATAAATTTATTTAAGAAATGTAGATGAAGTATCGATATTATCATGTTATAGGGATCAGGTAAGAGTTATCACCAAATTCTGCCCCTGTCATTTGACCCTTTTGTTTAAGAATTCCTGAGGGCACTGTACACACTACAGATGTTATCAGAAAAAGTTACGTTTTAATGGGTGACTTCAGTAGCACAATAACAATAGCAGGTATTTCAAAAAGTCTGACATGCATCATGCAGTTTAGGTTTGCCATATTATCCAGCCTCAGATACTTCCTCTACATTTTGGCATAGGCCTATCTGAATGATGTTCAGGCTACTATTCAGAGAAAGAGTGGCCTAGGCCAACAGACAACTAGTCCAAGTACCCACACAACCAGGTAGATTTAGAGAAAGAGAAAAAGCAGCTTGCCCTGCTGGACTGGGCCCAGCCAATATCTGAAGCAGGCAGGTGAAAAGGAAAAGGTGCAGATGGATCCTGACCTGAAGGTGGATCCTGTCCAGTATAAAATGTGGCCCCACAAGGACTCAGCACTAATTACCAGATTAACAACCCCTCCCAATGGACGCAGCAGAAGGAAATATAGGAAGGAGACAAACAGAAGGAAGCCAGGCAGGGGAACAGGTTCAGATGCCCCCTCCATAGAACATAGTAGGAATATATTTTCTTCTATATAGAATAAACCAGTGACCTTTGTCCATTTGTCAATTACTTTCTAATTTCCTATCTGATAAAGCTTTCTTGTAATGGCCTCTAAATTTTGCTTAAACCTGAGTTACTTTAACAGTGATGTAGCAAATAAAATTAAACACTGTAAATTATTGTTCAGTTTATGAGGATTGCTTTGGAGTTTCAAAATTAGTAACAACATAAAAATGTCTTGGCTATAGAAGAACATATTAATCACTGTTGTCAAAGCTTTGTAGCACCTTGTCTAAGTGTTAATAATCTGTTGACCAAATTCAGCAAAATACAATTTTGAGGTTATTCAAAAGCTTTATTTTTATTCATGATACCAACATGTTCCTTATTTCTATGCCAAAAAAATCCAAAATTAGCAATACTGGTTGGTAATACTCTGAATTTGTGTCAAAAATTGTCACTTGAAATTTTTCTTGGAAGTAGTGCTTGATAATTTGTAATTCCAATGAAGTTATACATAAAACCCTTGCAGCATTTATTTATTTCTTGTAGTAGCTTATTTTATAGACTTGCTATTTTGTCAATCAAAGGACAACAGGCTGTAATATAATAACTTACAGACAAGTAGATATATTGAAACTACTCATATTACTCAAAAAGAAACGAATACATTACAATTAAATTTGGAGATGAAAACTAACATAAAATACATAAAACAAAATAAACATATAGGTCATTACTAAATTGTTACTTTTTTTATACCAGAATTACAATGACTCCCTATAATTTTTTATACTTTTTTTATAATATTTTTATTTTTTTAATTAAATTAACTTTTATTTTTAACTTTTATTTTAAGTTCAGGAGTACATGTGCAGGTTTTTTACATAGGGAAACTTGTGTCATGGGGGTTTGTTGTACTGATTGTTTCATCACCCACGTATTAAGACTAATATTCATTTATTATTTTTCCTGATCCTCTCTTTCCTCCCATCCTCCACCTTCCAATACATCTCAGTGTATGTTGTTGCCTTCTATGTGTACATGTGTTCTCATCTTTTAGCTTCCACTCATAAGTGAGGACTTGTTACACTTGGATTTCAATTCCTATGTTAGTTTGCTAAGGCTAATGGCCACCAGCTCAATCCTTATCCCTGCAAAATACATATTTTTATTCTTTTTATGGCTGCATAATATTCTGTAGTGTATATATACCATATTTTCTTTATTCAGTCCATAATTGATGGTCATTTAGGTTGATTTCATGTCCTTGCTATTGTGAATAGTAGTGCAACTAACATATAGTTTCATGGATCTTTATGACAGAACAAGTTATAGTCCTTTGGTTATATACCTAGTAATGGGATTGCTGGGTTTCATGGTATTTTTGCCTCTAGGTTTTTGAGGAATCACCACACTGTCTTCCACAATGATTGAACTAACTTACATTCCAACCAACAGAGTATAAGCATTCCTTTTCTATACAACCTCGCCAACATCATGATATTTTTTGAGTTTTTAATAATGGCCATTCTGACTGGTGTGCGATGTTATCTCATTGTGGTTTTGATTTGAATTTCTCTAATGATGTGTGATGTTAAACTTTTTTTCTTCGATGGTTAGCCGCAGGTAGTTCTTCTTTTAAAAAGTATAAAAATTTTCTAAATACTTGAACTTTTCATTGATAATCTTATTTTTCTAAGGTATTACTTTGGAAAATAATGGTTTCTTATATACCTAAATCATTATAAAAGTTCAGAAAATAAAATGTGGTTATTCTTTTTGCATCAGTCTTTGAGTAGATTTATTTACTAACATCCCTTGATTTCATTTCTACTCTTTTTACAGTTCTAACATTTTATAACTTTTGAGTTCCACTCGTGGAATAAGATATTCTCTTTACTGTAACAGGTTCTTTGGAGATTTGATGGGAATAAACCAGATGCCTTAGGTCTCAATACTCGACTGTACAAGTGGATACCCCAGAATGACCTTCTAGGTAACACTCTGGTGAACAATACTGGATATATTAGTAACTGCACATTAGAGTGTTAATAGTTCATCTCGAAGCATGCTTATTGAATATTTGTTATAGGAAAACAAAAAAGAACTTCTTTATATTTATTTTCCAGTCCTAGGGGAAAAGAATATGTTATAATTGTTGGCATTTTGTGATACACACTCACATTCTTTGTGGTCAGAATCAGAGGTAATCTTTATTTCAGGTGCTATTATATCTCACAGAATTTTTCAATATCTTCCTGGGCTGTCCCTCTGTCTCCTGTTTCTACAACTTTACACCTGTTTTCTCCTCTCCTGCAGGGTTATTTCAAATGCCACTAAATATAATAGCTCTTCTATCACCAGTGACTGTATTTTCTGGAGGACTAAATTCCTAATCTTAAAGTAATGACACATTTCATGATGAAGTGTGACCTGTCTTTCCTCAATCTTAGCACCACCACCAACCCACTGCCTGCTGCCTTGCACACCCCACATATCACACTCTGTGACTGTACTTAGAATAACACTTCATTTCATGCCCATCTCTTTGCTGTCCTCTTTTGTGCACATTTTAAAAATCTAGAATGCTCTTTTTCATTAGTCCAACTGGAAATCTTGTATTAAGTTTTGCAGTCTGAAGTCACACCACCATATAGCCTTCAGTTACATCTCCAACACAAGTACCTGTTTTTTCCTCTGAAATCTGAAAAGTAATAGCAAATTAGTTCAGTGTGTTATCTAGAAAACACTGTCACTTTCAGAGCCTTTCATTGTGCATCTCATTTTATTCCTATGAATAATTTTGCTAAAATTCATCCAATCCTAGGTCATCCAAAAACCAGAGCTTTTATAACTCATGGTGGAGCCAATGGCATCTATGAGGCAATCTACCATGGGATCCCTATGGTGGGCATTCCATTGTTTTTTGATCAACCTGATAATATTGCTCACATGAAGGCCAAGGGAGCAGCTGTTAGAGTGGACTTCAACACAATGTCGAGTACAGACCTGCTGAATGCACTGAAGACAGTAATTAATGATCCTTCGTGAGTAGAACAATATTTTTCACTAGATGGTATTAATAGATAGCTTTTCTTGTCAGTAGTGAGCATGAGTTTCATCCTTTTTATAAGAGAGTGATTTTGAAAGAATTTAAATGATTTAACCAATCCGAAATCTGCTTTTACTTTTTATCTGTTATTTAAAAATTGTATTTGAACCCCATACATCTAATGAGTAACCAGTTAGTGAAACAGTTTTCTAAATAAAAATAATTTTAAAATGATATAGATAATATAAAAAAATACATTTCTTAAAAATTTGACATAATGAATCCATAGTAGAAAGGAAGAATAATCTTGAAATAATATAATAAAATGTTTTAATTAAATATCTAAAATGTCTCAGAATATAACTATTTTCTTGCAGAAAAATTAATTTTTATTATTATCTTTATTGTAACAGACTTGAAAATGAGATTTAATTTTGATAGCATAAAACCCACCTATTTATGGCAAAAATTCCAAATATTTTTACTATGTTTACAGAGTCATGAAGTCATCACCAGTGTATAAGTTTGGAACATTTTTATCAACGCAAAAGAAACTGCAGTGACACCAAAATCACCTCCCATGACTGCTTAGTCATAGTCTAACACCAATTTGTTTTCTTTCTCTATAGATTATTCTCTATAGATGTTTCATATAAATGGAATCATACAGTCTAGGGTACTGTGTAAATGACATTTCACCTAGCCTAATTTTTTTTTATGGTTTTTAGTTTAATTCATGTCGTTGTGTGTTTTAATATTTAATTTCTTTTACACTTGTATAATATTTTTTAATATAGATACGTCATAATTTAGTTGTTCATTTATCAGTTCATTGGCCTTTGTGTAAGGAGGGTATCATCTAAAGAAATACTCTAAAAATACTTTATCACAAAGACAATAGAAGGATAAAGAATGATCAAAACACCTTTAAAGAAGATGGGAAATAATTGAATAGAAACACAAACCAACTTGGACAAATAGAAAAGAAATATAAAACAAAGTGGTAGATTTAAATGTGATTATACAAATACTTTCACTCAACCTAAACAGACTTTTTTAAAAAAACAAGCAAATAATGAGTAAGGACATAAAACGTTTGAAGAACACAATTAACAAATGGAATCTTATAATGTAAAATGATATACACACATGTACATATACAATACACATATATGTATCGTATATATCAACTGGAAGACACATTTTCCTAGAGCATGTTGAATAGTTAATAGTCATTTGAAGTGGCATGTGGTGGGAAATAAATCAAGACTTAGGAAATATAAAAAGATTCAATATCATAAAGACTATATGATCCAGCCATAGTGGAAGTAAGGGAGGTTATAAATACTATTACTAAAATATCTTTAAATTTTGGAAATTAACAAAATACACTTCAAATATTTAAAGTCAAGAAGTAAATCATAATTATGCATGCACTGTTATCTCAGCAATTCTACTCTCAATTATATACCCAACAGATATGTATAAATATATAAATCTAATGGTATATAGAAGAGTGGTCATGACAGAATTATCAACAGTGTCCAAAAAGCGTTAGCAACAGAAATATCTATTCAACATAAAATGAAGACATAGTTTGTGCTTTATCCATCAACAAAATACTACACAGCAATGGAATTACCCAAGAACGGTTACACTAAAAAAAATAAACACTAAGGAGTACATATTATATAATTCAATTACATAAACAAGCAAAGCTAGTGCTGCTATTCAAAGTCCGGTTATTCTTTAGTTGGTGGACAAAAGTGGTGACAAAATGGTTCAGAAAAAGAGAGCTATTCTAGGCAGGTTGTGATATCCTGTACCATGAACTGAACAATAGGTAAATTGGTATTTTTGCCTCAAGATAATGTTCAAGATGATCTTCCATTTTTGAACTATTCACTTAGTGTACGTATATTTATCTTTTGTATTTTGTATTTAAATATATATTTTATGAGATATATAAATCATTTTAAAAATTCTAGGAATCAGATAGAAAATAAGCACAGTAAACAGAGAAAATCCTAGAGGTTCCGTCAGATTGTGGCCAGTAAAAGCCTCTCTTAGAGGTAACACTTAGAGGGAAGCCACAAAAAGGGAGAGAAGCATGCCTTGGGTATAGCAAGAAAGAATACTCCAAGAGCGGGAGAGAAGGGATAAAATGTGTAAAGTGCTAAGATGAGAACACCTTTGGAAGCTTAAAGAAAAATAGTAGGCCAATCTAGAAGACAGTGTGCAGGTAAAAGTGTTAGAAAAAGACCTTGCCAGTGTCTAACAATGTAGGGTTCTGTAGACCAAATAACAGAGTTGGATTTTATTCTTAAAATAATGAGAAGCCAGGCAAAAATCTTAATCAGGGGAGTGCCATAATCTCACTTTAGTTGCAAAACATCATTCTGGCTACAGGGTGGGAAACAGTAGGAGACAAAAGAGTAATCTAGAAGCCAAGTGACTAGCTATGAGGCATGTCACTCACCATGATAAAATTCCTTTTTAGGAACTTAGAGATGTTAATTCTCAGATTGCATTTTCACATCTTTCTTGCAGCACTTAAAATGGCTCATGATGTTGAGCACGTTCTAATATGCCTGTTTTAGAACTAATAGTGTAATGTGGAATGTGTTCATAATACAAAGGATAAATGCTTAAGGAATGAATATCTTATTTTCCATGATGTGATTATTTCACTTTGTATCAAAACATCTCATATACCCCATAAACATATGCACTTAATATGGACCCACAAAAACTTAAAATTAAAAAATTAAAAACAAATTAAAAATGCCTGATACTTTCTCTGCTTGAAAAAAATAACTTTCTCACCTGACTTTCCTTTTCTACTTTAAAAATATTTGTCAATGAGAAAAGTCCAATTTAAAAGCCAAACTTTGTATGATGACTCAAATTAAAATACATAAATTCTATATCAATTCTTTGACATTTACTTTGAATTATTTGACACTTTAAAAGCCTTTCATAGACTTGATATCTACAGGCAAATTAACTTACTTTCAGTGTCGGTATCTTTATTTTTATCCTTCAGATATAAAGAGAATATTATGAAATTATCAAGAATTCAACATGATCAACCAGTGAAGCCCCTGGATCGAGCAGTCTTCTGGATTGAATTTGTCATGCGCCACAAAGGAGCCAAACATCTTCGAGTTGCAGCCCACAACCTCACCTGGTTCCAGTACCACTCTTTGGATGTGATTGGGTTCCTGCTGGCTTGTGTGGCAACCGTGCTATTTATCATCACAAAGTGTTGTCTGTTTTGTTTCTGGAAGTTTGCTAGAAAAGGAAAGAAGGGAAAAAGGGATTAGTTATATCTGAGATTTGAAGCTGGAAAACCTGATAGATAGGAATACTTCAGTTGATTCCAGCAATAAATATTGTGATGCAAGATTTCTTTCTTCCTGTGACAAAAAAAAATCCTTTCGAAGTCTACCTTGTCAAGTAAAAATTTGTTTTTCAGAGATTTACCACCCAGTTAATGGTTAGAAATATTCTGTGGCAATGAAGAAAACACTAGGGGAAATAAAAAATAATATAAAGCCATATGAGCTTGTATTGAAATTTGTTGCACTTATATTGAAATGTGATCATGGCTCACTTCAGCCTCAACTTACTAAGCTCAAGAGGTTCTCTCACCTCAGCCCCCCAAGTAGCTGGGACCATAGGTGCATGTCACCATGTCCAACTAATTTTTTATTTTTTGTAGTGATGAGATCTCATTGTGTTCTCCATGCTGATTTCAAACTCCTGGGCTCAAACAATCCTCCCATTTTAGCATCCCAAAGGGATGAGATTACAGGTATGTACCACCATAACTTTACAAAATGAGATTTTTATATAAGAATGATTCAAATGTTCAGGGATGAAAGAGTCACTAACATAAAAGAAGAATGGGATGAGGTGAGAAGGATGAATACAAAAATAATTAGATATTCTTGAAATCAGAAATGTGCTCCCTAATTATATGAAATGTTGTTTGATTACATAAAATAAAGTGGAAATGAATGATTGACTGAACAGCCCACAAGAAGAATCACTTAATGCTCTGAAAATTACCAGTAAACTGATTAAAATCTAAAATTGCTTTCTGTTAAAGCTTTACTGATTAGTTTTTCTTCCAAAGCTCTCTTGTTTCTAGTTGTTTTCTTGGTCTTAACTACCCATTATATGCTTTGTTAAAGTGTTTATGCCCTGATTCAATGTGATTATCTCAATTTTTATTTCATTCTGTCCTAACTCTTGCAACCTGCATGTCCTCTTTATTATTGATCAATCCAACTGCAAAGTTCACCTTACCTGACTAAGGATTATTCATTAAGTTTTACTTGTTTATCTGACATTTATTATTTTGTCTCTTTGCTAGTCACTCTGAGCCATGGTCATGATGACTTAGGATTCTGGATCTCTTATGAATAACAAATTTATCCTTAATAAAGTCTCTATACTAAAGAAGAATCTAATGAAAAATATCACTTGATAAAATGAGTGCAGTACGTGAACAAATTTCTGACTGGATCATAAACCCAAAAAGTGATTAATCAATTTATTATTTAGGGACTAACAATGAAATCAATTATATATCATTATATAATTTGAATTGGTAAAAATTAATATTTATCATAGGTAAAGCACAAAATAACTGGCGACTCCAGTGCTGGTTTGTTGGGAGTATGAATAGAGTGGTGATAGGTGAAGGGCACCCATGGGCCCAGCACAACAAGAATCCCTCTAACCAGGTCCGAGCTAGCAACTACTGAAATCAAAAATCCAACCTACTAGTATCTCAATTTTTAATATATATTTGGACATTAGACAAGTGACCACCAGTGGAACTGTGGACTCAGTGGCTCAAATCTAAGCTCACCTTTGTCTGAACCTCTATATGGCCCCCAACTTTCAAAAAAGAAAGTCATGCCTCCTACTCATCCAAACTTTACCAAGATTCAGTGTCTTAGGGTACAACTTAAAAATAATAACAAATGAGAAATTTGAAATTTTATGCCTCACCAGTTTTCAATTTATCGTCCCTCATATCCTAATACAGCTTTATGATACTGAATCAGGATCCTGTAAGCATTCCTCCTTTGCCAGCTAGTTGAAAGTTAAGCTTCATCAATAGAGGACACTCGAGTGATGGTGAGGTGCTTGATGCAGGAAGGTGCATCCCTTCCAAGACTCACACTTTAGTTATTCAGTAATGTTTATCATTAATATTGGAGTTTAAGAATATGAATGTTAAAGAATATATTTAAGAATACTAAAGAATATACTTTAAGAAGGCAAGAGGAAAACTTCTAATAGCACATTTGTTTTACCTTTTATTAAATATTGCATTCTGCATAGAAATTAATTCAGAAAACTCCTACATAAACCATTTATATGAGTCTTTTGTAATCACTGAAAGAAATAGACTGTTGACAGTCACCTTTTAAAAGGGTGTATACCATTCAACTCTTAGGTATACCATTTATTATTTTGTTTCCTGCAAACTCAAAGCATCTAGGAGTGAGATTACAAAAATAACAACAACAACAAAAAAGCAGTGTTGGCTAATTTGTCAGCATATGGAAGTTAAATTTCTTACAGACACACAACTTCTGTGTAAATGTAAATCACTTGGCCATTCTAGCTCTATTATCAAATTTATAGTTTCCCAGAGACAAACATTGCTTTGGCTTTTGTCTGGTTTTGGATAGTTGGTTGTCTTTTCTCTTCATGCTTCCTTATCTCCTTTATTTCATTTATTTTTAATTAAAAAACAAAGAGACAGGAATTACCTATATTTCATTGTTGAAGGTTAAATTTTGTTTGTATTTGTACCTTAGTTCCACACTTTTTTCTTTCTGGAAACGTATATGATAAACATATGCTTGAAAACAAAGGATTACATGGATATTCTGAACTCCCAAAAAGAGAATCTCATGACTAAGCCAATTTCACATTTCTAATTAGCATACTTGCTTTCATTGAGTGTTTTGAAATTTAACTAAACATAAAATTAAAAAAAAAAAAACCTCTAGGCTAGTGTATATATAGCACTAACTAAAGAGAGGAAAACTAGAATTACAGTAATAACAAAATTAATTGAATATCATAAAGAATTACATGCAGGTTGTTAGACTATAATATTAAAATCATAATTACCTTTTAACTATAGGAAAACTCTAGTTTATTAGAAAGACTACATAAATCTATGCTTCTACTTTTATGTTCAAATACACTGAATAGAGTTCCTATACAATCAAATACGTGGAGAATACTATTGAGCATGAATCTTCTCTTTCTTATATCATTCCCCAATTTTTATGTTCATTTGAGCTAACGTATTTAAAATGTTTCCTTTGGAGTCATCAGAATATGTCTCAAGATTTCAAATCCTGCAATGTGGAATAGGGACTTAATGCACTATTTTTATTTTATTATTAACAAATGACAAGCAAGGGATATGTTACTAAAGCAATAGAAAAGATCACTAGGCAAATAATAAGTTGTGTCCACATACACAACCATAATGCTTTCCAAATTGTTATGTAAATCTAATGCCTGTTATGCAAATTGAAAAATGAGATTCAAATTCCAAATGGAAAGCCATACTTTCTCCATTGTGTGAATAGCTTCTTATAAGGATTGGAGGTTCTACTGACTTTTTGTGGAATCTGAGCCAGGCCTGAAGTGATAAGATCAACCTTTTCTTCTGTAAGGTTTTGCACAACTGACTCCAGAGAAAACACAACAACACCATCCTCATCAGAGCTCTGGACAAATTCTTCCATTTCCTACAGAGGAAAAACTTTCTTCATTATAAAGATGCAATGCCACATAGAATAATATAGTTTATGTATACTTCTAAAATAAAATTTTGAAGTTGACATATATATAGTTATATCATCCCTATTTTCTGAGGTGCATTTTAGAATAGAAATGTTCAAGTTTGTGTTAGAAACATATGGCTTCAGTACATAATAATTATTTACTAGAAAAAGCACACAACCAAATAATTATAAAGAACATTTAAGTGAGAAATGTGCAGCTCATTTAATATTTAATAGACATCAAATTCTAAAAACATAATGGTTTGCAAACTCATAAAACTATTTCAACAATATCAAGTGTCAATTTGCTGGCATTTTGTGATGTCAACAAAATAATAAAATTTTAAAAACCCCACATCAATTCCCCCACAAAAGTACAACTAGTAGCTATCCAAATACACAAATGTCACTCTGAATTCACCAGATCTCAAGAGAGAAGGAGAAAACCCCAAGACTCACGGACATGAAAAACTTATGATTGGTAAGATGAATAATTATTTTGGACTGTACCACCCCCCTTCCACACACCAAAATGATACCACTGTGAGAGAATTTCCTTTTACCTGCGGTTACTGAAATGGGAAGAGGGAATTTCAAGTGGACATATATTCTATGCATAATGATATGCATATCTGGTCAAGAAAAGCAAAACTACGTAACACACACACACACACACACACACACACACACACACACACACATATTCTATGTTCCAAAGAAGCTGAGATTACAGGAGTGGGCCACCACACCCAGCTACTTTTTGTATTTTTAGTAGAGATGGAGTTTCGCCATGTTGGCCAGGCTGGTGTTGAACTCATAACCTCAAGTGATCCTCCCGCCTTGGCCTCCCAAAGTGCTGAAATTACAGGCATGAGCCACGATGCCTGGCCCCTATCTAACCCTATTCTTGAAAGGTTTTCCCATTCTCATTAAGGAAAATGATAGTGCCATTAGGAAGGCAAAGATAGTAGGTGGAGAAGGAGAACAAGAAAAAGAATGACTAGTAGTACACTCATGATAATTACTGATAATAGCTGTTATTAGCTTGCAGAAAGAAGATTTGAATCCAAGTCAATAGTTGTGAAACCTGTTCTCTAATTCTTTATTACATAAATCAATTGTTACTTTACCCCTAATTGCTTGCTTTTCAATTGAATATGAGTTTCTTTTAAAATTTCTGTATATTTTAAAAGAATAAGATATTTGGCAAAAAGTACCAAGTGTTTTAAAAATGCATTGGAGTCATAATATGTTATATAAAAGCATGCAGAGAAAACAATAAATCAAGATGTATATATTCAATATTTATGGAGGATATTCATAATATAAACATTGGAAGTAATCCAAACATCTTAAATTAAGGAATACTTATACTCTGTGTATGTCATACCATCACAATCATTTTATCAAACAAATATTGTTATTTAATTACACTGGCACCCATAATACAAGTTTAGCTGGAAACTGAGGATCTAAATGACAAATATAGCAAAATGTCAACTTATTTTAAGATGAAAAGGTACATGCAATAATATTAAAATTTTCTTAATAAATGTCACATATGTACATTATATTATATAAATAAAATAAAAACCATAATGAACATATACCATTTTTACATTGGTAATGCCTCTGGGACAGAAATTATAGGAGCATTTTATTTTCTTTTTAAAACTTTTCATATGTTTATAAAATTTCTTGCATTGATCTTTTTTTTTTGAAATGGGGTCTTGCTCTGTCACCCATGTGGGAGTGCCGTGCACGATCTTGGCTCACTGCAACTTCCACCTCCCACGTTCAACAGATTCTCCTGTCTTAGCCTCCCGAGTATCTGGGATTACAGGAACTCACCACCACACGTGGCTATTTTTTTTTTTTTTTGTATTGTTAGTAGAGATGGGTTTTCACCATATTGGCTAGGCTGGTCTTGAAATCCTGACCTCAGGTGATCCACCCACCTCGGCCTCCCAAAGTGCAAGGATTATAGGTGTTAGCCACCGTGCTCGGCTCTTGCATTGATCTTGTATTACTTTTGTAAAGTTTTCACAGAATGGGAAAAAAATAGCCCACATCAGTGATGAATCTGTAAACAGAGGATATATTATTTTAACACTGGGTAGATGAAGAAGGCTCTGGGCATCAGGCCAGTGAGACAAAACACTGAATACAAGTTACATTAAATGTGGCTACAAGTTACTGCAATCACATGCAATACCTGAATATACCATGTATTACCTGGAATAGTACTACAATGACTCTCGTGTTGACATTGAGGTCTTAAGATTAAAAATCATATTTTAAAAAATACTCAGCAATTTGTGGTCTGCACAGTCAATATTTTCTTTCTTCATTTGTAAGGAACACTTAAGAAAAAGTTTTACCCCAATCATTACATTTGAAAATATTTAAATTTAAAAATTGGCATAGACTGGGAACCACAAGTCAGAATAATTGTCAATCAATTCCAGGCAAGCACATCTTCACCAAGAGTTGAATATAATGTGAGAAAGCTACTCAAGACAGTTACCATAACTCCTCTGGAGAAAGGCCTGGAAGCCTCTCCCACTAAGGTGCAAGCACTCCCTGTGAGACATAGTAAAGGGATGATGAGAATTCCTCACACCCAGTTACAAATAGCACATCAATTTAGCTGTGTGATTTCAGGGCAAAATGTGTCCTACCTAAACCTTGACCTGAGAAATATGATCATTCAGCTATGTAACCATTTACTGTATAATTCTGTATTACAAATGGGAGTCTCTGGCCCATTTCACAGAAATTCCAACTACAATACCAAACACCTGAATGTCAGTGATTCTTAATCACCAGCTTTTAATAACGATTTTTTTTGGTAAAAATACTGGAAATTTCTGACAAACTTTAAGTGAAGTATGAGGGATATAGTCCAATATGAAATTTGATGGTGTGTGTAAACAGGAAATTCAATGAAAAATGGATAATAATTATAAAAAATGACAAAAGTTATTGATGTTTAAGAAAACAAAAATGAGGTCAATAAATCATTATCCTACAAAATATTTGCAACCTATAAAAACCTGAGAAATCTATTCTTGAAGAAGTATAATGTAAATTAATCTTTTCAAATAAATTTAAATATATCATTTGAAACTGAAGTTCTACATCTAGAAATCTGTCATGCAGAAATCCTTGCACGTAAGCACATGTATGAACAGGATGTTTCCTCCAGCACTTAAATGGCTATAAGTCAATATCTTCAAGATATTTCTGGGATAGTATTTATTTCCTCTATGTGGGGCCCATTTGTGAACATCTATTTTATATTTAAACATCTATAAATAAATATATTTAAAAGTTTTAAAAAATATTAGCAGTTATAGAAATCTAAATTCACAAAATTTTAGTAATTTTTCTGATTTCTATGTCAATATACAATAAATATTACAGTAACTTAGTGACTGCTGCTGCGTACTTCAACAGGTTTTATATATGGTGATTTTGAGATATAATTCAAATACTTTGACAATACTTCTGTCAAGTCATATTGTTTTTCTTTGAACTTTGGCAAACCTTGTGGCTGTTTCAACAAAGAGAATGCAGTAGAAGTGATATAGCTTAACTTTCAAGGCTCTCTTAGAAAAGCATACATTCCTTCTTTGTCTCTTTGTCTTGTCTCTGTCTCTTTTCTATTTCTCCATCTCCGTCTCTTTCTATCTTGCTACTACCCATACCTCCTCAACTAAATGTAAAGCTTGGTGCCATATCTGAAGTCCCTATGATAAATAACATTTTGTGGAAAAACAAAATAAATGATATACATATATATCACATAGACTAAGAAATCCTGATAGTTTTAGAAACTATGTGGAAAAAACACATAATTGTTCCAAGCCAACGCCTAAACTGTAAGAGATAATTAAATATTGTAGTTTTATGGCTTAAATTTAAGGGCAATTTGTTATTCGGTGGTACCAATATTTCTATATATTTTACATTTGTAATAAATTACTTTTAATATATAGCTACATAAATGGGAAAATGTAGATGTTATATTTTAAAACTAACTGTAACCCAGATAGAAGAGTCAGCATAACATGGTGGTTAAGAGTTTCCACTTTGGACCCAAAGATGGCTTGATTCAAGTCACTGCCAAATCCCACTACAAAATGATGTGGGATTGGGCACATTAATTAACCTTTCAATGCCTCAGCTCCCTCATCAATGAAATGATAAGGATTATGATGACATTATCAACCTCATGAAGTTGTTAAGAGAATAAATTCATTAATATGGCAAAGCACCAAATACAGTGACATATATAGCAAAATATAATGTAAACTAATTATCATAATTATTAGACAGAGAAAAATTTCCACAATAATGTTATTGTTCAAATAATTGTATGAATTTATTTTTAAACATGACACGTTTCTAATATAAATTTTTAAAAACAGCATTTACTATTTCAAATATGTGGAAATTAAATTTATCATATCAACCAAGTGCTGGCAAACAATGGCCTCTGGGCCAAATCTGGTCAAATCTGACCATCTTTCTTTTTCAATTAAGGTAGAAATTATAAACATAAAAATCACCATGTTAACCACTTAATTTTTGCAATTTGTTGGCATTTAATACATATGCAATGCTGTGCCACTATCACCAGTATCTACATCTAGAGCATTTTCTTTATTACAAAAGGAAACTCTAAATCCATTAGACAGTCATGTCACATTCCCCATTCTCCAGCTTCTGCAGCTTGACATTATGTATTTTCATCATTCTATAGCCCATTAGGTAATGCAAAGCATATAAAATAAAATAGAATGAAATAAAATATAAAGAAGTTTCTAACATCAACCAAGAGTGTTGCTTCTTTATTTCATATATGGTATTTGTTCATAATTAACAATTATCTGATTTATAGAAATTCTACTTTAATTACATAATTAATATTTTCTCAAATATACACAGAAGTGTTGTGATATATACTGTTGTAGTTTCTTTCTCATTTGGTATTGAAGTATCTTTCTTGAGACTGGCCATAGCCGAGATAGCCACTCCTTAGGAGAGTGCTGACCAGAAGAGAGGAGAAGTGGGTTCAGGTTTATGTGTTAGGTAAGACACATTGAGGAAGTAAAACCAAAATGCATCAAATAAAAGAAATTTGTTCCAGGTCCAGGGGGGTTGGGTTGATGACAGAAAACTAACAAGGCATTCATAGGAAGGAGGAAATTCAACAAGCGGTGTGAAAATAAGAGTCAGAAGGCCTATGAAGCCATTCCTTTATTAAGTTCTGTGAGTGTTAACCCTTAGATTTTATGAGGGAGTTTTAGAATGGCTAATTTAAAGAACATGTAATTATAAACTTAAAAAATATGTAAAGGGAGGAGGCTAATTATACAACTCTCATGTTGACAATAGGTTATATCATGATCATCAGTTATAAAGTGTGCTTGGTTTTGGGGTCAGTGGAACAAGAAACAAATGAACTATATCACAAACAACACATGAGAAAGAAAAGAAAAACTGCTATCACTAGGTGTTAAACAACTTACGTCAGGCCTAAAATTGGATGCTGAGTTAGTAACTATGTTAAGCAAATTTATCACAAGAAGGAACAAAAAGTGTTAGGAGAAAACATTGATGTAGCCCCTTCCTGATTGATAGTGTGAGAAATGCTATGAACCCATGAACCAGCTCCCCAGTATAAGAATAACTAGTAAAAAATTATTGTCAAAATAAAACTATTTGAAAATACTAGGAATTATCCTCATCATATGTGGAAAAAAAATTCAAAAACTTCTGCCAAATCTTGGTAAAATAGTAAGAGCCTGTGGCATTTAAACAATAACCTTATTTTTCCTCACTCACCCTCCTAATTCAGTGTGACTAAATCTCCATTCCAGATAGGTGCAGACAAAGATGATAGGGCTTCAAATCTACAAAACTCCAACAAGAGGGAGATGTATCTTCTGTAGAGAGGAAATCATCCTAAACTCTTCCACTCACACCCAATCGATGTGTTATAGAGGGTAAATTCTAGGCTAGTTAAGTCAAACGGGTTATCTCTTCTTCTATCCAACCACAGTCATAAGCAAAAGTTTTACTTAGGAATGGCATACTGAGAATCTGAGTACCAAATAATTATAGCCAAAACTTATTTATAGGATGGTGGTTCCATGATGGAGATGCAAACTAAACGTAAGGGCTATTATTTTTCTGTTTGAGCACAGATGTCACTCAGAGAGAAGTGTTCCATTGTCCCTGCCCTCCAGTTCTAACACCAATGGGAGATTTTGCCCAAGGAAGGAGTCAGACCATTCAAAAGAGTGTTGTAAAGCACTTGCAAGAGTAATTTACTTTACTTGAATCAATATGTAGAAGTTCAAGCCTAAGAGTACTTTCAAAATATGGAAAGTTTTGTTGGTAGGCAGTTATTAATATAAAGAAGAACATAGCTTTATGAAAGATGCAAATTAGCTGATTATACAAAACTAGAGAGAGACAGACAGATAAAAAGAGTCTTTCTGAATCCAAACCAACCCATAGTTTTGTGAAAACTGTATTGGGGTAAAAATAAAAACAAATGGTAACCTGAATACAAAAAAAAGAGAGAATCAGAAATGGTAAGTAAAAAGAAATTGTGACCAATGATATAAACAAATATCTGCTTTCTAATTATTTTTTGCTTCTGAAAAGACATAAAATTATATAAAGTGATAATAATGTAGTGTGAGGTTTGTAACACATGTAAATGTAATATAACAATAGTCGCACAAATTACAAGAGGGAATGGAGTTATGTCTAGGTAATATTTTTATATAGGAAGTAAGGTAGTATGAGTTTAAAGTTTATTCTAATAATTTAATGTGTATATATGGCAAGTCCTCAATTACTCACAAAGTAAATAACGGAAAAAATATAAAAATTATTAAAGAGATGGAAATGTTACATTTAAAACATAAATTAATGTAAAAGAAGAACATAAAAATATAATGTATTAAAAAAGACAAACAACACATAAATCCAGCTGTATGAGCAATACTAAATATAAATTAATTAAAAAATCCTATTAGAAGTTGAATATTACAGACAATATTTTAAAAAATTCCAAGTATATGCTACCTAGAGAGACACTGTATAAACTTACAGATGTAAGCAGTTGGAAATAAAATGATGTAAAAGTATATACAATGCAAATAGTAACAAAAATAAATGAGTGGCTATAGTAATTTCAGACATTAAAGGTTCTTGTTCAATGTTATTAAAGAGGAACATTTTTTATTATGAAAGTGTCAACTCATTATGAATATATAAAAATTATAAATACATATGCACCCATCATCAAAACCTCACATACATAAAGCAAAAACAGATAAAAAGAGACATAGACATTTTAACAATGACACATGCACCTCATTCCTTCATTTTTTTTTAAAACTAGGGTTACAGGTGTGAGCCAGTGTGCTCGGTCTGCATTTGTTTTTATTTTATTATATTTTTTGTAGAGACAGAGTTGTCCAGTGCTCCACAGATTGGTCTGGAACTCCTGAGCTCAAGCTATCCACCAGTCTGGGATTCTCAAAGTGCTGGGAGTACAGGCATGAGCCACACACGTGACCAATCCTCTTAATTTAAAATAAAGTATGACTTTAATTTAGTCAGTAATGTATTAAGCTGGGAGGAAAGTGATCTGGCTGTTCCTTAAGTTCTTCTCCTGTTGCCTAAGAGGTAAGATGGAGGTATCCTAGAGCATCCTTGGCCAAGGAAATTGACATGAAGGCTTTTTGGAGGTAGTGTCTTCTAGGGAACCTAAATTTTCTTTTCCTGTTCTTTTTTTCTTTTTTTCCAAAGTTTAAGTTCTGGGGAACATATGCAGGATGTGCAGCTTTGTTGCATAGGTAACAAAGCTAGATTTGGTGTTTAGAAGTGGGACTAGCCTCGGAGAAAAGAGGCAAGAAGAAGTTTGTTTGACAGGCATTAGGACCCAGGAGGCAAGGGTCAGGATAGATAGGATAGATGGGCGAGTCTTGCTTGGGAGACATAACTTTGAGAGTTACGCTTATAGCTGCAGGGTCAACCAACTTTTTTCAGGACCCTGGAGCTGAATGGCTTTCCTGTCCGTTGACTCTCAGCTCAGCCCAGAAGTACAGGAAAAGCAGAAGCTGGTTCCCAGCAAACCAACACTCCTGCCTCTAAAGAGTTGGGGGTTGTTAGAGAGCTCTTTCCCAGAAAGCCTGACACTCATGCCTTTAGTCTGGTGGCTGAGCTAGTCACTTTTAACTGGCCGACAGGTGCCCGGTGACTAGCCCCCAAACTCTAAGGAAAAATAGGACAGAATACCAAGCAAAAGGGGTCTGATGGCACTCAGTGTGTGGCAACATCCTGGATGAGCCCCCAAGATGTTTCTGGAGTTTCTTCCTGCTGGTGGGTTCGTGGTTTCAATGACTTCAAGCATGAAGCTGTGGACCTTCACAGGGAGTGTTACAGCTCTTAAAGGTGGCACGGACCCAAAGAGTGAGCAGCAGCAAGATTTATTGTGAAGAGCAAAACAACAAAGCTTCCACAGCGTGGAAGGGGACCCAAGCATGTTGCTACTGCTGGCTGGGGTGGCCAGGTTTTATTCTCTTATTGGCCTCTCCTATGTTCCATGTCTGTCCTATCAGAGTGCTCTTTTTTCAGTCCTCCCTGCGATTGGCTACTTTTAGAATCCTGTTGATTGGTGCGTTTTACAGAGCACTGGTTTGTTCATTTTACAGACTGCTGATTGGTGCATTTTACAGAGCACTAATTGGTGCATTTTACAATCCTCTTGCTGGCTACAGAGCACTAATTGGTGTGTTTTTACAGAGCACTGATTGGTGTATTTTACAATCGGCTTGCTAGCTACAGAGAGCTGATTGGTGTGTTTTAGAATCCTAGCTACAGAGTGCTGATTGGTGCGTTTTACAATCCTCTTGTAAGACAGAAAAGTTATCCAAGTTCCCAATCTACCCAGAAGTCCAGCTGTCTTCATCTCTCAAGTCTAAAGTTTTTCTAGTAGATTTCTAAATGTTTTCTCAATATAAAAGCATGTCATATGCCAATAGTTTAAATTTTTTCTTCCCTATATAGATTACTTTATTTCATATTCTTGTCTATTTGTCTTAACTAGAACCTCTAGTGGGATGTTGATTAGGAGTAGAGAGAGTGGATTTAGCCTTTCTACATTAAGTATAATGCTAGCTATGTGTTTTCTTATAGATGTCACTTATCAGGTTTGTGTCAGGCTAGGTTTCCCTCAACAATTAGAGCAGTCAGTTTTCACTAATCCTTAACTATAATTTTAATGAATCCATAAGTTAAGCATTAAAGAACTAGACAAAGTTTTACCTGAGTACAAGGACTAGGATGAGAAAACAAACCCATTCAGACCCCACCTTGGTTTTCACAGCCCCTACAGTCTGATAGAATAATAATAGCATTTTTACACATACACCTCATAAGATTAGATGGAGATTGAATAAATCACTCCTTCTTGTAGGTGCACTCCCACACATAGGCATGCAGCTTAAAGTGTATCTAAGCACTAGAAAAACACTTGTAACTTTGAATTGATCTGGTGAGTTACTGCAACCTTCTCCCTGTAACCAATTGCATAAATAAACTCCCCTCTTTCTGACTTTGTCTGCTTCTTGTTACTGGACCATGAGAACAAGCAGGTGGACCTTGTTCTGTCAGGGAACAGTTTGAGGAAGTTTCCCTCTATTCCTACTTTATTGAATATTGTTATGATGAAAGATACTGGATTTCATTAATTTTTTTGTGCATTCATGGAAATGATAATGAATTTCTCATTCTTCATTATAATTATATTGTGTAATACATTAATTGAAAGTGTTACAGGATCTTTGGGGTGTTGCTTTTCTGCTCAGAAACATCTGTGGCCAGTGGCACCTTTGCCCAAGTTCTTGTCATGCAGCCAGGAATAATGAGGTACACAGAAAAGTGAGGGGTGAGCAAGACAAAGAGGAGCTTTATGGAGCGTTAGAACAGCTCAGAGGAGGTATGCAGTGGTTAGCTCCTCTCTGTAGGCAGGTAGTCCCATCAGTTTTCAGCTCTCAGCAGAGGGGAGGCCCTGGAGAGGGTAGCTCCACATGAGAGAGATTATTTAAGCTATCTGGTAGAAGAAATGCCTAAGCAGCAAAGCATTCAAGAGGAAGCAGAGCATAAAATTTTAGAAAATTTGCAGCCTAGTGATGCAATAGAAAAGAAAACTCCATTTTCTTGGGAGAACTTCAACCCTGCTGCAGAAATTTGCATAAATAATGAAGAGCTGAATGTTAATCAACAAGACAATGGGGAAAATGTCTCCAGTGTATGTCAGAGCCCTTCATGGTAGCCTCTCCCATCACAGGCTCAGAGGCCCAGGAGGGAAAAATGATTTTCTGGGCTGGGCCAAGAGACACCCTGCTGTGTGCAGCCTAGCAACTTGGTGCCCTGTAATTCAGCTGTTCCAGCCATAGCTAAAAGAGACTAAATTAAAGCTCAGGCCATGGCTTCAGAGTGTGCAAGCCTCGAGCTTTGGCAGCTTCCATGTGGTGCTGAGCCTGCAGGTGCATAGAAGTCAAAACTTGAGGTTTGGGAATCTTTGCCTAGATTTCAGAGAATGTATGGAAATGCCTGGATGTCCAGGCAAAAGTTTGCTGCAGGGGTGGAGCCCTCATGGAGAATTCTACTAGGGCAGTGCAAAAGGGAAATGTGGTGTCAGAGTCCCCACTGGGGTACTGCTGAGTGGAGCTGTAAAAAGATGGCCACCATCCTCTAGACTCCAGAATCATAGATCCAATGATAGCTTGCATCATGTACCTGAAAAAGACAGGCACTCAACAGCAGCCAGAGAAGGCAGTTGGATAGGGGCTGTACCCTGGAAAGCCACAGGGACAAAGCTGCTCAAGGCCATAGGAGCCCACCTCTTGCATCAACTTAACCTGGATGTGAGACATGGAGTCAAAGGATATCATTTTGGAACTTTACATTTTAAGGACTGCCCTATAGGATTTTGAACTTTAATGGGGACTGTAGCCCCTTTATTTGGTCCAATTTCTCTAATTTAGGATGGGTGTATTTATCCAATGCCTATACCTCCATTGTATCTAGGAAGTAACTAGCTTGCTTTTGATTTTACAGACTCATAGGTGGAAGATACTTGCTGTGTCTCAGATGAGACTTTGGACTTGGACTTTTGGGTTAATACTAGAATGAGTTATGACTTTGGGGGACTGTTGAGAAGTCATGATTGTGTTTTGAAATGTGAGCACATAAAATTTGGGAGTTCCCAGAGGCAGAAAGATATGGTTTGACCGTGTCCCCACTGAAATGTATGTTCCAAGGAAGCTGAGACGGGGTTTCACCGCATTAGCCAGGATGGTCTCGATCTCCTGACCTCATGATCTGCCCTCCTCTGCCTCCCAAAGTGCTGGGGTTACAGGCATGAGCCACCATGACCGGCCTAGTCAAAGCTGTTTTACAAGTCTCTAGAAAGTTCCAAACTTGTACATATCTTTCTGTCTTCTGAGCTCTCCAAGTCTCTAGGAAGTTCCAAACTTTCTCACAATTTCCTGTCTTCTCCTGAGCACTCCAAACTGTTCCAACCTCTGTCTATTACCCACTTCCAAAGACACTTCCACATTTTCAGGTATCTTTACAGCAACACCCCACTCTCAGTGGTACCAATTTACTGTATTAGTTTCTTCTGACACTGCTATTAATAACTGCCTGAGACTGGGTAATTTATAGAGGAAAGAGGTTTAATTAACTCACAGTTCTGCAGGGCTGGTGAGGCTTCACGAAACTTACAATCATGACTGAAGGGGAGGAAAACACATCCTTCTTCACATGGATGGAGGAAAGAGAAGAATCAGCAATAGCAGGGAAAGCCCCTTATAAAACCATCACATCTTATGAGAATTCACTCACTATCACAAGAACAGCATGAGGGTAACCGCCCCTATGATTTAATTACCTCCCACTGGATTTCTCCCAGGACATATGAAAATTATGGGAACTACAATTCAAGATGAGATTTGGATGGGGACAGAGCCAAATTATATCAGTGAACTTTCTATGTTCCAAAATATAATTATTTCTATTTTTCTGAAAAATAACATGATCGAAAAAATTAAAAATTTGACATCCAAGAAAGATATGATGCTGAGGATGGAAGAAAGGAATTAAGAATGAAAGTTGGAAAACATGTTCAGGGTGCCTGACTAGAAGGTACTAGTGTGCATGGCTCTCATGGAGAGTAATGAAAAGAGCAAGTAAATACAACACTTTCAAGTGAAACATCCAGGGACTTGCATTGAGAATAATCAAGAAAATAACTTGACCCACAGAGATTAAAGAAAAACAGGACAGGATAATGGTCCACCTGGGAGCAACAAGCAGCTAGGGGAACCCCACCCTCCCAGGGAAGCATTGAGTAATTGTGCAACCACAGGAAACCATACTTCTCCCAAGAATCTTTGCAACCCTCAAGTCAAGAAGTCTACCTGTGAACTCACATCAACAGGGCCTTCATTCTGACAGCCAGAAAAAGGTGGAGTCTCAGCAGAGCATCTACTCAGGCATGCGAGGTGACCCTGGAACCTTAGCTATGTGGGCTTTCTGGCAAAAGTAACTGCAGCTTTGGCAAATTAGGAGATTAGAACCACATACATATCCCTAGGAAAAAGGCTGAATCCAAGGGACTGAGAAGATACAGCCTGCAGGCCCCACTTTCACAGCACCTCACAGGTGAGCACCCACTGGCTTAAAATTCCAGCAAGCCACCAATAGCGGCATTGCACCTCCATAAGAAGGAGCTCTCAGTGGGAGTGGCAGGCTGCCACCTTTGCTGGCCTTTATTCTTAGTTTTTCTCTCCCATCACGGAAATTCCATCCTATGAGTGGACTGGGGCAATGGCTATTTGGTACTCAGTATTCTTTGTGCCGTTCTTGAGTTGAATCTCTGAGTTATGACTGTGGCTGAATGAAAGATGTGAGACCCTTCTTAGCCACACTTGCCTAGAATTAAGCTTCTGGAGCATATGCCTGAGTCTATATATATAAAAAAATCAGAGAGACACCTTTTCTCAACTGCATACCCTGACACTCAACTGGGAGCTTTGAAGAGTGAGAGCCCTGTGGTAGCATCAGCACCTCCCTGGAAGAGAGGGAGTTTCTGTCACTGAACTAGGAGGGGGGGCAAATGAGCATGTTGTGGCTTAAATGCCAAAGACACTTGCTGTTTTCACTACAAATTACTGGATTTTCTTCAGTGAATGTTACTTTATTATATGTCTTTAGGATTATTGCCAGGGACACCAAATGGTTGTTTTAAAAAACAATTTTCACCAGTTATTCCTGTTTCCCTTGAAATTTCCTCCATGGAACTTTTTATGCTACCATTTGAGAATGGTCTATTTCAGAATGTCTTGTAAAGTCTCTCTACTTTCCGCATATATTAAAACAATCAATCAAAAAGTAAAAAGTAATATTCTTTCTTTTAATTTTTATTTTATGTTTGGGGTACATGTGAAGGTTTGTTATGTAGGTAAACTTGTGTCATGGTGGTTTGTTGTACAGATTATTTTGTCACCCAAGTATTAAGTTTAGTACCCAATAGTTATTTTTTCTGCTCCTCTACCTCCTCCAACCTTCCACCATCTGAAAGTCTCTAGTGTCTGTTGTTTTCCTCTATGTGTTCATATGTCCTAATCATTTAGCTCCAACTTACAAGTGAGGACATGCAGTATTTGGTTTTCTTTTCCTGCATTAGTTCATTAATTTGCAAAGGATAATGTGCTCCATCTTCCATCATATTCCTCCTGCAAAAGACATAGTCTTGCTTTTCTTGTGGCTTCATAGTATTCCATGTTGAATGTGTACCACATTTTCTTTACCCAGTCTACCACTGATAAGCATTTAGGTTGATTCCATGTCCTTGCTAATAATTAGTGATGTTGAGCATTTTTCATATGCTTGTTGGCTAGGAAATACCATCCTATGCATAGAAATGGGCAAAGCTTTTATGAAGCAGATGCCAAAAGCAATTGCAACAGAAACAAATGATGACAAATGGGATCTGGTAAAAATAAAGAGCATCTGCACAGCAAAAGAAACTATGAACACTCTGAATATAAAACCTACAGAATGGTACCAAATGTTCACAAACTATACCTCTGACAAAGTTCTAATGTCCAGCATCTATAATGAATATAAACAAATTAAAAAAAAACAACTTTATTAAAATGTGGGCAAAGAACAGGAAAAGTAAATTTTTATTTATCAGAAAATTGCAATTTAAGGACTAGAGATAGGAGACAAATCCATGACAAGGTTCAGGTCAAGGCAAAGCTCATAAGAAGTTGGCATTGACCAGGAGTTAGTATTGTCATTATAACAGTGGGTTAGTGGTCAAAAGTATGAAAGCACATGGCCTCAGTTTGAATCCTGAGCTGACATCTACCTGTCTTATTAAAAGGATATGAAAAGACACTTCTCAAAAGAAGATGTTTATGCAGCCAACAAATATATGAAAAAAAGATCAACATCACTGGTCATTAGAGAAATGCAGATCAAAACCACAGTGGGATACCATCTCATGCCAGTTAGAATGGTGACCACTAAAAAGTCAGGAAATAACAGATGCTGGAGAGGATGTGGAGAAATAGGAATGCTTTTACACTGTTGGTGGGAGTGTAAATTTGTTCTACCATTGTGGAAGACAGTGTGGTGATTCCTCAAGGATCTAGAACAAGAAATATCATTCGACCCAGTGATCCCATTACTGAGTATATACCCAAAAGCTTATAAATCATTCTACTATGAAGATACATGCACACGTACATTTATTGTGGCACTGTTCACAATAGCAAAGACTTGGAACCAACCCAAATTTCCATCAATGATAGGTTGAATAAAGTGGCACATATACACCATGGAATACTATGCAGCCATAAAAAAGGCTGAGCTCATGTCATTTGCAGGGACATGGATGAAGCTGGAAACCATCATTCTCAGCAAACTAACACAAGAACAGAAAATAAAACACCGCATGCTCTCACTCATAAGTGGGAGTTGAACATTGAGTACACATGGACACAGGGAGGGGAACATCACACACTGGGGCCTGTCAGGGGGTAGAAGGGTAGGGGAGAAATAGCATTAGGAGAAATACCTAATGTAGATGACAGGTTGATGGGTGCAGCAAACCACCACGGCACATGTATACCTATGTAACCAACCTGCACATTCTGCACATGTATCCCAGAACTTAAAGTATAATAAAAAAAATTTTAAAAATAAAGAATAAATTGTCTCTACAAAAAACTTCTTAAAAAATTAGCCTAGTGTTGTGGTGTTCCTGTAGTCCTAGCTACTCAGCAGGCTGAGGTGGGAGGATCCCTAGAGCCTAGGAGTCAGAGGTTACAGTAAGCTTCAATGTCACCACTGCATTTCAGCCTGTGCAACAGAGAGAGAGACCCTGTCTCAAAACAAAAGAAAAGGATTACCAAACCCAAACATAAAGCTTTTAGAGAAAAATAGGAGCCATCTCCCTTGATTACTTGGCAGCAGGCAAAGCTTTCTTAGACAGATTACAGAAAAAGCATAAAAGAAAAAATAATAAAATAATAAATTAGACTTCATAAACAAATGACAACAGTGAAAACTCCCACTCACAAGACACTGTAGAAACAATCCAAGTATCCACCAATTGGAGAATGAATAAACAAACGAGGTGCAGAATATGCAGTATACTCATATACATCTGTGACACGCAACAATACAGATGAATCCAAAACATGTTAGGCTGAGTGGAAACTAGCCACAAAAGAGTACATACTGAATGCATAATTTCATATATAAGATATTCTAAAACAATCTCCTCTGGGAAGCAAGGGCTGAGTTGGACTGCAAAGAGGCATGAAGGGACATTTGTGTGGTCATAATAATGTCTTATGGGTTTGGGTTTATAGAGGTGTAAGCATTTGTTGAAACTCAAAAAATGTATAGTGAAGATACATGCATTTCGTTGTATGCAAATTTTATAACGAAATACTGAAAAATATACTGTAGTCAATTATATATATATATGCTGACTATGAGTAAAAAAAGCACATCTCTTCCTAGATTTTACTGTTAAATTGAATGAATAAAAATCATATATCTTTCTTATCTGGTTATTGTGAGTAGCCATGCAATGGTTCTTAGAATACTTGCTGAAATTATTCTCATCATAAAGAGATTCTTAGTAAATGTTTGCTACTATCACCGTTTTTTCTTGTTGTATTTTGATTTTAGAATTTAAGAAGAGTTCAATATTTTACTTTGAGACATTGCATTGAATGCTTTGAGGCATTTAGTGTTAAAATAATTATGGACTAATAGACAAATAATAAGGATGGATATAAGTATATGCTTACCAAGTTAAAATTATGAAGTGTTAATGCATAGCACTGTAGCAATAGCAATGGAGGTAACTTCTGTTCTTGTTATTTAAAGATCACAGTGGGAAGACTGTGTTTTTCAGAGGGTGACATTAATCCTGATTTATGTTTTTAATACAATTGTAAAAAACTATAATCAAGAAGTTACATAATACAAAGAACCAATACAATGCATGTCATTTCATATACATTCAATATGTGTTAACTATTCAAAAATTATCTTTATTTTTCAACACCAGAATGAGTTTATTAAAATTAATATTAAAAACATAATAGTAAATATTAAAATTATTTAATTTTTGTTAATGTAACTATTAATAAAATAGCATAACTAAAATTATTGTGTGTACTGAAATAATTTAAAAACAACAAATTTCTGGTTTCAGACATTTTGGCTGTTAAACAGAAATATTCCAATTTATCTCTTTCAAGCCCGTTATTTTATAATTATTTCAAATGAGACAAAAGCAACCACAACCACAATAACAAAGAATATGGTCACTTTTATACTAGTATCTTATTTTTTTCAATTGTTTTAAACAGGTAAATTTGAAAGGCGTAGTGGTTTACAATTCATCAGTGATGGGATTAAAAATATTAACATCATAATTATTTCCTTATAATTAAATAGAAGAGGAACTAGTGATTGATTATGTCATGCCAATTTACTGAAAATAAAGCATTTTGGAAGAGTTTTAAAAACAATAAAAAAATTGAGTAACTAATGTGAGATGATTGACACATGCTTACCTGCTTCATTATAGCAACCTTTTCACTACATATTTGCATCTGATGATAGCATCTCGTATACATTATATATACCAAATAAAATTTATCCAGAAAAATAACATTTGATGAGCTCTCATGCTGAAAGACTGGCATAAACATGGTGAAAACTAGACAGTACTCTAATAATATTTATGTTTCCCTGCTTCAACTTTGTTCTCAGTCTTCTTTATAATGTGTTGTTACCATCTTCAGCAATTCCTATTTCATTTTTGACTATTTTAAAACTTATGCACTAGCCTAGAACCTCTGATAAACATTTCCACTAAAACCACCAAAGTGAAGTATAGGCGACACTCCAGTATGAAGTGTGTTACCACTTCATGATAAAGACTGGGGATTTTTTCCCATATAAAATGCTGTCACTGGAAATAAAAGACAGGCTGTTATTTTTCAGTTGCAACTGAAATATCCCTACATAAGGAGAAAGGGTGTTTGTAATGATTGAATTAGGAGACAGACAACCTAGAAAATTATTGAACTTTTATTGTTTAAGAGGTAACTACAGTTGAAATAGAAATAAAGATAATTTGTTCTAGCCATAAAGAACGTAACTGTGTATAAAAAAAATGGTAACTGTTGTAATTAATTGTATTTTTCCCCCAGGACTGGAACATAAATATAAACATGCTAGATTTTATTTTTGAGTTTTTAAATAATAAATGGTGAATCTGTTTTTTTTCTGTTGAAGTATTTTCATCATGATTGGCTGTTAGCCATGTTTTCAATCTTTGTTCTTCAGAGTCTCACCAAGGCCATTCTGGACTACCCACTATACAGCGAAGTATTGATACTAAGGTATCTGATTTCCTGTCATCAAATTTCCATGTGATCATTTATATAAAGAAAATACTTTGTTCTGAGTCAAATTCAAATTAAACCATATTTGTTAGAATTCTAAAAAGACTGAGAACCCTACTAAATGCCTTCTATATAGCAGACAAAGAAAACAGAATAGGACAGGTTAATTAATGAGAACTACTAGAAGACTGAAGTAAGCAGAACAACTATATTTCCTGGACTTATTTTTACATTAGATCAGTTTAAATGCAATCATAATATTTCATACATAGTGACTTAAACAATTGAGATAATAAATGAAAAATTCAAGTATTTAATTGTTAGACAGTCATAATTCTGGTGTGAAGAAGAGTAACAAATTAATAATGGTCCACACTTTTTAAATTAATGTTTGTACTATACTCACTCTCTTCTTCCAAATTTATTATTAAGCTTTTTTATTTTTAAAACAATGAAATGGGAGACAGTTTACTTATATCCACTTGTTCCATAGTTACAGTCTGACATCTTTTGATTTACAAACAAAGCAAATCTATGTAATCCTCTCTGTATGAGAAATAAATTAATTCTGCTTAGGAATTACATATAAAGATAAAAAATTTCAAGTGGCATTTTTCATGTATATCCATAATATTATTACATTTGTTAGCATGGACATTTTTAGATATGAGAAAGAATGATTGGCATCTTATAAATAATAGTGCTGTTGAAAAAAATTCTAAAATGCAATGATGCTAAATTTTATTCAAAGACTGTTAAATCTTCGATGACATACTCCAAAGCATTGACAGCAGTGTTTAATATGGTTGTCTATAGCTAAGCCATTTGGTACATGCCTAGTACCATAATGAGGTACTGATTTTGGAATTACCAGGAAATCATCATAAACTAGTGCATAATTTACAAATTTTTAAAATTTAGTTTTTATGTGAGTGTTAAAAATAACTTCAGGTTTGCAGCCAAAAATAGTATAGGTAATTATAAAAAGCTACGTAGAATAAAAAAATAAAGAGTATTTCATAAGTATTCAAAGATCATAGTTGTGTTGTACATATTAGAAAGTTAGTTATTATTATATTTTAGGGGTTGGAGCATCTGAACTTCTCTCCTTGCTTGAGTTTTCCTCTCTTTCTTCTTCTTCTTCCTTTTTGTTTTTATTTGAAATAGTCTCACTCTGCCTTTCAGGTTGGAGTGTGGAAGTGTGATCACAGCTCACTGTAACCTTAAACTCCTGGGCTCCATCAATCCTCCTGCCTCAGCCTCAAGAATAGCTAAGACTACAGGCATGCACCTCTGCACACTTCTATTTATTATTATTATTATTACTTTTTGTAGACACAGGGTCTCTGTATGTTGCCCAGACTGGTCTCGAACTCCTGGGCTCGAGGAATTCTCCGACTTTCCTCTCTGCAGCTGGTTGTCCTGATGTCTGCTCAGCTCCTAGCTGAAAAGAGGCCTTAGAGTGGGTTGCTCCTCTCTGCAGCTTGTTGTCCCGATGTCTCTGCAGGTCTCAGAAGCTCTCCACTGAGAAGGTAGTTCCTCTCTGCAGCTGGTCATATTGTCATCTGCTCAGCTATGGCTGAACCCATAGTTTTAATGGGCCTCACTAGGGAGAAAGTGCAAGTTAATTGGTCTGTGAGCAGCCATGGGTGGGCCCAGAAGAGGCACCACAAGTTCCCACTTCGGTCCATGGGACAGACAGGCAACCTAGTCCCCAGCCTTCAGGCTTTCCCCGGTCCTGAAGATGGGGATCACTGGGGACCCACCCCCTTTTGCCCAGGAATCAGTCTGCCTCCTGCTGTCACTCATGGTGCCTAGGCTCAGTCCCAACTTTGCTATGAGATCAAGTGGGCACTGACATCAGGAAGAAGCCAGGCAGTAAGATCAGGCACTTCTGAGCCTGTGAGGGCAGAGGAGTTTCCCAACAGGTGCTATCAATAATTTAAATGTTAAAGTAACTTTGCATTGCTGAGATTAATTTCACTTATTTGTGGTATATAATAACTTTTGTATGTTCTTATATTCAGTTTGCTAAGATATTATTGTGGAATTTTGTGTCTATAATTACAAGAGCTGTTGATCTGTAGTTTTCATTTTTTGTGATGTGTTTTTTGTGGTTTTAGTAGAAGGGGTCAATGAAATATGTTGGTAGTGTTTTCTCCTCTTCTATTATTAGGAGGATTGTTTTTTGAAGAATTGTTATGTTTTCTTCCTTGAATGATTTGTAGAATTCTAAAACAAAGCCTTCTTGGCCTGGGCTTTTTTTTTGGTGGGTTGTCTTTTGATTAGTAATTCAGTCTTTCCGTTTTTTATGGGTCTATTCAGGTTTTCTATTTCCTCTCCGGTTTATTCTATAGTTGTTCTTGTCTGCATCTACCTGTAGTAAAATTCTGACACGCTGAGTTCGGAGGGGATGAGGGGGCAGTTTTTGTTTGCAAGGTAAGAGGCGATCCCTGTTTTTATCAAGTCTTAGGAAATTTACTTGAATAAGTATTGCTTTGCATTGTGCTTTATATTTTTAGAACAATACATGGACAATTAAATTTTTTATATTAAAGCAATTTTTAATACTAACAAGGTACTTAAATTTTATCATTTTCACAATCATGATGCTCTATTGGGATATTAAAATTTGATAAGACAATAGACTTAATTTAAAAACAAAGGTTTATGATATATTCTCAGTGTACTTGTGTAGTGTTAAATCAAGTTCAGCCTAAAGCTACCTCCTACATGTTTTAAGTTTGGCCTAAAAGTTTCTCTGTACATCATGAACTTTGGCAAGTGGAGGTGTAAACAGACCATAGCCTACACTTGGGCCAGTCGCCACGTTTTGGCCAAATAAATGTAGCCAGTTATTTGAGCTTTGTTTAAATAAGGTAAGCACTGAGCTTTAACCAATTCAGTTGTTCCTTTACCTCACTTCCACTTTTTGTATGTCACTTTCCTTTTCTTTCCATAAATCTTATTTCACCACGTGACTGCACTGGAGTCTCAGAGCCTACTCTGACTCAGGAGGCTGCACAATTTGTGAGTTGTCCATTGCTCAAGAGTTTAAACTCTTTTAAATTTAATTCAGATGAAGTTTGTTTTTTTAATCAGTGTATTTATCAAGTCAGCTCTGAGTTATCTTTTGTTAACTCTCATATTTATATATACACACACACACACCACGCACACACACACACACGTATTCCTTCTGTCATTTTGCTTTGTTTTATTGTGCTTCACAAATATGGACTTTTTTTTTTACAAGCTGAACCCTTGTGGCAACCCTACATTAAGCAAGTCTACCAATGCTATCTTTCCAATAGCTAACACATGCTAACAATGTGTCACTGTGGCATATTTTGGTAAATCTCACAAAGTTTCAAGCATTTTTGTTTTTATTATATCAGTTTTGGTGTCCTGTGGCCGTTGCTTCTTGATATTGCCATTGTAATTTTTTGAGGGACATCACAAAATGCATGCATATAATATGGTAAACAGAACTGATAAGTGTTGTGTGTATTCTGACTGTTCCACCAACCAGCTGTTTCCCATTTATCTCTGTCTCCTCAGGCTTCCCTGTTTCCTGAGACACAACAATACTGACGTTAAGCAAATTAATAACCCTACAAATGGCTTCTAAGAGTTCAAAGGAAAGGAAGGGTCTCATGTCTCTCACTTAAAATCAAACTAGAAATGATTGAGCTTAATGATGAAGGTATGTTTAAAGCTGAGATAGGGCAAAGCCCATACTTGTGCCAAACATTTAGCCAAATTTTGAATACAAACAAACTGTTAATGAAGGACATTAAAAGTGCTACAACAATATACACAAAGGATAAGAATGTGTAACAGCCTTATTGCTTATATGAAGAAAGTTTTAATCTTCTGGATTAAAGATAAAACCAGTGAAGATATTTTCTTCTGCCATATTCTAAACTAGAGCAAGGCTCTAACTCTGTACAATTCTGAAAAGTGTAAAAAATTTTCAGAAAAAAAGTTTGAATCTAGCAGAAGTTGGTTTATAAGGTTTAAGGAAAGAAGCCATATCCATAAAATAAAATGCAAGATAAAAGAAGCCTGTGTAAGTTATCCAGAAGATGTAGCTAACATAATTAATGAAGGTGGCTACATTAAACAATAGCTTTTCCATGTGGACAAAACAGTCTCCTATCGAAAGAAGATACCATCTAAGACTTTCAAAGCTACAGGGAAGTCAATGCCTTGCTTCAAAGTTCCAAAGGATAGGATGACTCTTTCATTAGATGCTAATGAAGCTGGTGACTGGAAGTTGAAACCAATGCTGATTTATCACGTGGAAAATCCTAGGGCCCTGAAGAAATATACTAAATCTATTCTGTACTCTATCAGTGGTATCAAAAAGCTTGGATGGCAGCATAGCTGTTTACAGCATAATTTACTGAATATTTTAATCCCACTTTTGAGATCTACTGCTTACGAAAAAATGTTCCCTTCAAAATATTAATGCTCATTGACAATAGGTCTGGTCACTCAAGAAAATGAGATATACAGAGAAATTAATGTTGCTTTCATGCTTGCTAATATAACATTCATTCTATAGCCCTGGATCAAAAAGTAATTTCAACTTTTAAGTTATTGCATTTAAGAAATACATTTTGTAAGAATATAGCTGCCATTGATAGCAATTACTTTGTTGGATATTAGTAAAGTAAATTGAACATTTTATAAAAAAGATTCATCTTCCTAGATGACATTAAGAACATTTGAGAGTCATGGGAAGAGGTCAAAATATCGACATCACCAGGAGTTTTTAGGATGTTGATTTCAACCATCACGAATAATATTGACAGGGTCAAGACCTCAATGGAGGAAGTAACTACAAATGTGGTGAATATTGTAAGTAAAATGTAATTAGAAGTAGAACCTGAAGATATGACTGAATTGCTTCAATTTAATGATGAAACTTGAATAGATGAGGAGTTGCTTCATATGAATGAACAAAGAAAGGGGTATATTGAGATGAAAAATACTCTTGGTGAAAATGGCTTGAACATTTTTAAAATGAAAACAAAGAATTTAGAATATTACTTAAACTTATTTAATGAAGCAGCAGTAATGTTTGAGTGGATTGATTGCAGCTTTAAAAGAATCTCTACTAAGGGTAAAAAGCTATTATACAGCATTATTAAACAGCATGGCATGCTACACAGAAATTTTTCATGAAAGAAAAGATCAATGAATGCAGTAAACATCATTCTTGTCTTATTGAAATTGTGATCCTCTGCAAGTAAAAAGAGTACAGCTCACACAAGGATCAGATGATTGTTAGCATTTTTCAGCAGTAAAGTATTTTTAATTGAGTTATGTACATTTTTATACATAATGCTATTTCTGACTTAATGGAATACAGACAGTTTAGACATAACTTTTATATGCCATGGAAATCCAAAACAATTGTGTAACTTTCTTCTTTGCAATATTTGCTTTATTGCAGTGATCTGAACCCAAACCTGTAATATCTTGAAGGTATGCCTTGCATTAGTGTAAACACTTAATGTGAGATCTACTCTTTTAAAGATATTTTAAGTGTATAATACATTATTGCTAACTATGGCCACAATATAGTGCAGCAGTTCTCTTAAACTTACTCATCTTATTGGGAACTGGAGTAAAAGCCAATCATTCTATTCTTTAACAAAGATACTGGCAGTCCCTGCCATAGAGATATTTGGAATTTTGAGCTTGAGAGAGATAATTTAGGGTATCTGGTGGAAGAGATTTCAAAACAGCAAAGCATTCAAGATGTGACCTGGCTGTTTCTAACAGCATACAGTCATATGTGTTCAAAAAAAAAGGTCTGAAATTGGAACTTATGTTTAAAAGGGAATCAGAGCACAAGAGTTTGAAAAATTTGCAGTCTGACCATGTGGTATAAAAGAAAACCCCATTGAAATTCAAGCTGGCTGCCAAAATACATAAGTAATGAGAAACTGAATGTTAGTAGCCAACACAATGGGAAAAATGTCTCCAGAATATTTCAGAGACCTTCATGGCAGCCACCCTCATCACAGGCCTTTAGGCCTAGGAGGGAAAAATTGTTTTTTGCTATAGGCCTTGGGCCCAGCTGCTCTGTGAGGCCTCAGGACATTGCTCCCTGCATCCCATCTGCTCTAGCTCCAGCTGTGGCTACAAGGCATCAAGATACAGCTTGGGCCATGGCTTCAGAGGATGCAAGCCCCATATTTTGTTGTCTTGGATGAGGTGTCAGCCCTCCAGGTTCACAGAACGCTGAAGTTGAGATTTGGGAACTTCTGCCCAGATTTCAGGGTATGTATGGAAATGCCTGGATGTCCAGGCAGAAGTCTGCTGCAGGGGCAGAACCCTCATGGAGAACCTCTACTAGGGAAATACAAAGGGAAATGTGGGGTGGAGTCCCCACACAGTTTCCCCACTGAGGCACTGAGTAGTGTAGCTGTGAGAAGAAGGCCATCATCTTCCAAAAACCGCAATGGTAGATACACATACAGCTTGCTCTGTGCACCTGGAAAAGCCACAGGCACTCAATGCCAGCCCATGAAAGCATCCATGGGGGCTGTGCCCTCCTGTGGAGCCACAGGGGTAGAACTGCCAAAGACCACTGAATCCCATCCCTTGCATCAGTGGGAACTGGATGAGAGAAATTGAATTATAGGAGATTTTTTGAAGCTTTAAGATTTAATGGCTGCCATATGGGGTTACAGGCTTGCATGGAGCCTGTAGCTCCTTTGTTTTGGCCAATTTCTCCCATTTGGAATGGGAATATTTACCAAATTCCTGTACCCCACTGTATCTTGGAAGTAACTAACTTGTTTTTTTTTTTTTTAATTTTACAGGCTTATAGGTAGAGGGTCTTGCCTTGTCTCAGATGTGACTTTTGACTTAGACTTTTGTGTTAATACTGAAATGCGTTAAGACTTTGGTGTACTGTGAAAAGGGATATTGTATTTTGAAATGTGAGAATGACATGAGATTTGAGAGAGGCTGAGGTGGGGATAATATGGTTTGGCTTTGTGTCTCACCCAAATTTCACATTGAATTGTAATCCCCACGTGTCAGGAGAGGGACATGGTAGGAGGTGATTCGATCACAGGGGTGAATTTTCCCCATGCTGTTATCATGATAGTGAGTGAGTTCTCAGTAGATATAATGGTTTAAAACTGTGGCACTTCTCTCTCTCTCTTTCTCTCTCATGTTGCCATATAGTACATGCTTTGCTTTCTTTTTGCACTCAACCATGATTATAAGTTTCCTCAGACCTCCCCAGCCATGAGGAACTATGAGTCAAATAAACCTCTTTTTCTTATAAATTACTGAATCTCAGGTAGTACTTTACAGCAGTGTGAAAACAGACTAATACACCATGTTATTTTAATTACACTAGCTCTAAATATAATTTGAAATAAGGAAATATGATGACTTCAGCTGTTTCTACATTTTGCATATTGTTTTGGCTATTTAGAGTGTTTCCAGGATCATAAATTATAGTTTTTTTTAATAGAATATGTCATTGGGATTGTGATAGGGATTACACCGAATCTGTAAATCACTTCAGGTTGTATAGATACTTCAACATTATTAAATATTTCAGTCAACATAATATATCTTTCCAAATTAGTGTATTCTTTCCTTTCATTCATCAATGTCTTATAGTTTTTAGTACAGAAGTTTTTTTAATTACTTGGTTAAGTTTATTCCTATATATTTTTTATGCTATTATAAATTGGACTGTTTCTTGATAGTTATTTGTTAGTATACGAATAATAATACAATTTTGTATGTTGATTTTATATCCTGCAAATTTACTGAATTTGTTTTACTTCTAGTAGTATTTTGTAGAGTCTTTACAGTTTTCCACACATACTATAATGTCATCTGCAAACAGAGGTAATTTTACTTCTTTTCTTATTTAAAAACTTGTTTTATTTTTATTTTTCTTGCTGATTTGTTCTAGCTAGGACTTACAGTACTATGTGAAATAGAAGCAGCAGGAGTGAGCATCATTACCCGGTTCTGATATTAGATAAAATTTTTTCAGATTTTTTAATTGAGTATGAATTTAGCTGTGAGGTTTTCATATGTATCATTCCTCATGTTAAGGTGATTTTCTTATATTTCTAGGGTGTTAAAAGATTTTTTTTTTTTACTCATAGAAACTGTTGAATTTTTCAAATGCTTTTATTTGCACCTATTGAGATAACAGTTGCTTATTATTCATTATTTTGTTAATGTGGTATATCATATTTGTTAATTTTGAACATTATCTTTCATTCTAGGGATAAACTTGTAATGTCTTTTAGGAAAGCAGTGACACTGAGTATGGATGCATAGAAGAAGCCAAACAATACTACTGTTCCTGCAATATCAATAGGAAGAATAGGAAGAGTGAGACTTCTTGCCCAATTTAATTATTGAATAGTTTCTTTGGCAACAGTAAAAAAAAATAGAAATCTGCTCAAAATGAAGCCAAAGTATTCTGAGCATATGAAAAACAGTACCTGCTCCAAATGAAGCCAAAGTATTCTGAGCATATGAAAAACAGTACTGACACTGTAAGTGAACTTCTGAATATAGTAATTTCCATGCACAGTGTGTGAAACATCGTTAAGCTCAGTAAAGTTTTTTGTGTCATTTGTTAATTAGAATAATAACCTTAAAACCCCACAGGGTTTTTTTATTATTTTTATTTATCCTAGTTTTTAAATATTTGACTTGGAATATTTCCAACTTAAATAGATACTAAGTCTCTGGAAAAGAAGTTTTTCACTTAACAGGGTCAATTGTGAAATGATGTTTTGTCACAGGGGGAAGGAAATTTTCCATTTCCACCACTTCATGCTGCAATAAACTGGACAACTCCTAATTTTTGGTCATTCCAGCTTCAGGCCTTTGATATAACTAATCCTTTTTCTCCTTCTTTCCTGTTTTGACAAACTTTCAGAAACAAAACAGGCAATATTTTGTGATGATGAATATCACATTTGCCACACAGGCCAGCAGGAACCCAATCACATCCAAAGAGTGGTACTGAAACCAGGTGAGGTCACGGGCTGCAACCCGAAGGTGCTTGGCTCCTTTGTGGCGCATGACAAACTCAATCCAGAAGACCGCTTGATCCCGGGGCTTCGTTGGCTGATCATGATGAATCCTTGATAATTTCAAAGCATTCTCTTCATAGCTAAGGATAAACAGAAAAATACCAACATAGAAAGTAATTTTTTTCCTAAATATATCAAGTCTATGGAAAGTCTTTGAAAAATGTTACACAAATAATTCAAAGTAAATATTATAGAATTGACATAGAAATTGAATGTTTTAAATTGGGTCATCATAGAAAGTTTGGTTTTAAATTATAATTTTATCATAGGCAAAATTTTTTAAAAGTGAAATGGAGTCAGGTGGGAAAGTTAACATCTTTCTACCAGAGGAAATATGATGAGCCACTCTAAGTGCTATAAGTAAGATAATAGAAATGCAATCTGAGAATGATCATTTTGATACACATAGTTTTTGAGAGACGGTTGTGCTCTCTTGCTCAGGCTGGAGTTGTTCCCTTTATCAGGGCTCACAGTAGCCCTGATCTTGTGGGCATAAGCAATCCTGACAACTGAGCTTACTGAGTAGTTGGGACTACGAGCTCAAACACTCTGCCTGGCTTATTTTTAAATTTGTTTGTTCTAATGGAATCTCGTTATGTTGCCCAGGCTGGTCTTAAATTCCTGGACTCAAACAGCACTCCTGATTCACCTCCCAAAGTGCAGGGACTGCAGGCATGAACCACCGTGTTTGGACTATTTTGATATTTTAAGAAATAATTGTGTTCAGTGGTTGAAATGCCCTCTAACTAATCTCTCTGCTTCTACTCTACTCTTCTGTCTTCTGCTATATTTTCCTTCCAGAAGCCAGAATAATGTTTTTTTTTGAAATTAATGTCAGATTATGACACTCCACTGATTAAGATTTCCATCTGGATTCTCATCACATTAAGAAGAGAATCTGTAATGGGAAGACATGAATGAACACATGGAGGGGAACTACACACACTGGGACCTAGCAGAGTGTAGAGGGTGATAGGAGGGAGAAGATCAGAAAAAAATAATTTGTGTTTACTAGGCTTAATACCTGGGTGACAAAATAATCTGTACAACAAACCCCCAAGAAATAAGTTTGCCTATATAACAACTTGCATTTTTTAACCTGAACATAAAGTAAAAGTTAAATAAAAAATAAAATAAAAAAGAATGACATGCTTTTTAATAGAAAAAAAGGGAATAAGATCTGTTTTTGGTCTACAGAACTTGACATGGTCAGGCACTGGCAACTTCTCCTAACACTTTCCCCCTGCATACTCTCTTCTAGGGACACTGGGCTTCTATTAATCTTGAAGCTCTCAAAGGCATTCTCACCTTAGCCCCTTTACACCTTTTGTCTCCTCTCTCCCTTTTCAGAGCATTCTGTCTTGCAATAAAATGAGGCTTGCTTCTATCTCTTTTTGAGGCTTCCCCTTAAATGATACTTGTTAGAGAGGCTTTTCCTGGCCACACTATATAGTACCTGTAGAATTTTCTCCAGTGTTTCATGCTTATTTTGCTATTTAATTTCTAGAACTTTAAAATATTTTATATATCTTCTAAAATAAAATCTTAAGTATGAGATACATAAGATAAATATACACACACTAGTGAGTAACTCAAAATTTTAAGATTATGTTAAATATTATCCTGAAATAAAGACACCTACTTCTTAGGTTCTGGGTTATTAAAACCTGCCTAGAGGAACTCTCTCCTTTTGGACCATTTTAGTCACTGTTTTCATTCTCAATTTAAGTATTAACCTGAATTCTAATTTAATAAATTAACATTACTTGTTTATATAATTGAATTATATAATATATACTTGTGTCTTTTTTTGTATAGCAGTTATTGGTTAATTACATTGCTGTATAGTATTCTGTTGATTGACAAATACCACAGAGTATTTCTTTATTTTATAACTGATGGACACCTGGGTTGTTTACATTTTTGGACATTATTAGTTATTCTGGTATAAATATATTTATCTATATGTATGTCATTAGTTTTACATATTAATTTCTGTTAGATATATAATTGGGAGAAGAGTTGCTGAGATAAATGTGCATGTATAATTACAATATTTTGTTGACTGAATTTTTTAAAAATGTATTTTTAATTTCCAAAGTTTAGAGAATTTTTTAGTTATCATTCTTTGTATGATTTCTAATTTATTTCTAGTATAGCTAGACCACATACTTTTTATGATTTTGAATCTCAACAAACTAATTGAGTTTTGAGTTTTTGCCCAGCATATGATCAGTTCAGGTCACTATTTCCTATACTTTTAAAAAATGTTTATTTCCAGTATACACACATGCACACACACACTATATGTATATGTCTACACATAGAATATAGAATATTTGAAAATATTTGAAAGTATAGAATATTTGAAAATCATTCCAGTGAGTAGTGATCACAGAGAAAGGTCAGGGCAGGACATTACAGAAGAAAGTTAGTTTGAAACAGGGGAACTTAGTTTTAAATAAACAATTATGAGTTTGAATGATAATTTATTGGCAAATAATTCTTCACTCAAGTTTTAAAAGACAGTCACAAGATCAAGCCTTTCTTTAGCAAGAAATTCTTGCATCTCAACATAGAGTGGTATGTAAAGGTAAGAGTTTAAAAGCAGGGAAAATGATAAAATTGTATATTAGTTACTGAGACATGCCAACCTAATGGAATGAAACACAAATTGTTAATAGTAACTGCAAGAAATTAATTTAAAATTTGTATTTACTGATAATATCTGAGGTAGGAAAAAATGTACAGGAGAAAAGACATGGTTGTGGTTTCTGTCTTAATAAGCAGAAGGCTGATAATGACATTAGGTAAAATGAGTTTTAAAAAGCTCATCTAGCAAACGCATAAAGAGCTGATCACTCGGTGTTTTGAGCCCTCATGGAGGTGATAGATGTCTGGAGAGAGAAACTAATGAGAGAAGAAAGAATAAGTAACCAGTTAGGCAGATAGTTAGGACAGGTTCTTGGTAGAAGTCCTCCCCAAAAAATGACAATGTGGAAGAAATCAAGCTGCAAGCACAGATAAGGAAGCAAAGTCCAAAGCCCTTGTCTTCTGTGCAACCAGTGAGCTCCGCCTACACACGGTGGCCTTTGGTGAGCACATTCCTTTTCTTTCTGGACACACTCAGGTAAAGGAACTTGCACAGGGTGCTTGCCTAAGACAGACCTGTAGCTGTATAGATAAGGAAACTTACACAGAACCAGACACGTCTGCAGTGACACATACGCAATAAGCAAAATAAAACAATATGCAGTAACTCAGGCTAAGGACCTGCATGCACACTAGAGAGAAGAGGTGGAGCTAACAAGAATTTGTATGTATGCAAATAAGACATCCAGTCCTAACCTGTTTTTCGTGCCTTATGTGAATGAAACACTCTGCCCTATTAGCTTTTTTTTTTTTTTTTTTTTTTTTTTTTTATAAAAGTCTTTGGATTCAACTGTGAAATGAATGACAACCCTCTCAAGAACTCCTGGTAATACCTCAAACAACAAGACTGCTCCAGTGACCCTAGGCTGCTTCGGTGTAAAAAGTAAAGTAGAGATTCCTCTTCAAAGACTTCCCCTCCATCTAATTAAGAATAAGTAGTAACTTCTCTTACAAGCAAAATTTATTCAAAGACCTGTGCTAACATTCTTAAATATCTGCTAACCATAATAAAGAAATCAATGTATTTTATGTTCTCAGCTCCCACAATTTAGTGTAAATATTTGCCCTGGCATGCTTACACTGGTCTAAGCAAGCATTAGGTCATAGCCTGTTCCTCTTCCTTATTTGAAGGTGTTTTTACCTTTCTCAGTATACCACAAGTTACTTCTGCCTTCCTTTGTTCTCCTCTGCCTTTGCCTCTTTTAAAAAGTTCTAAGTTGCTAGCCAATCAGGACAAATACACAATGTGATGTCCTGTTCCTTCCAATAGAAACCCCGGACACAGCAGTAAGCTTGACATGTCAAGTTATAAATGACCGTCTCCTTTATTTGGTGTACTCTCATGGCAAAACTGCTGATGTGTGCACCCTTTCTGCATAAAGTAAAAAAAAAAATTGGCCTCGCTGAAGAAATTAAATTTATGTTCCAGTGCTATTTCTTTACGGCACTGAAGAACAAGGATTTTAAAGATTCACTAACACATGTAACAAGGCAGAAACAACTCAACGTTAAAACATGTGGAGTCTCACTTACAATCAGCACACATTGATGCACCACACAAAAAAGCCTAGGCTACAGCTCGGTTCCTCCTTTTAAGAAAAGAAGTGTGAAAGAATTTAAGAATGAGGAAAGACAATGAGAAAAACTGCTTTGGAACAATTTTTTGGTTTCATGGGTCTTCCATTTGAAAGCATTTGTGTAAAATGGAGAAGTGTGAGGGCATTCCACGTCTAATGGTTTAGGAACACCCCCTAGTGCTGTGTTGCCATGGAGCTTTCAGAAGATGTGGTTGTTTAAAAGTGCGTAGCAGCTTCCCCCACCTTCCTCCTGCTCCAATCAGGTAGGTCATGTTGACTTCCCTTCACTTTCTCATAATTATAAATTTCCTGAGGCCTCCTCAGACAGGGTACCTATACAGCCTAGGGAACTGTGAGTAATTTAAACCTCTTTTCGTCATAAATTACCCAGTCTCCGGTAGTTCTTTACAGCAATATGAGAACAAATGTGAAAACAAAGTAATACAGAAGATGTGAGAACAATGTGACAGCAAACTAATACAGAAAACTAGAGAGGTGGGGCATTACTGTAAAGATACCTGAAGATGTGGAAGCAACTTTGGAACTGGGTAATGGGCAGAGGTTGGAATAGTTTGGAGGGCTCCTAAAAAGACAGGAAGATGAGAAAAAGACAGGCAGATCCACAGGGCCAGAGCTTCCCAAAGCCTTGAGAGCCCTCCTATTGCCCTGGTATGCCCTGGATGTGAGACATAGAGTCAAAGGAAATTATTTTGGATCTTTGAGATTGAATGAGTGCCCTGCTGGGTTTTGGACTTGCCTGGGGCCTTTGTTCTGGCCATTTTTTTTCTTTTAAAATGGGAACATTCACTCAGTTGCTGTATCCCCACTGTATCTTGGAAGTAACTCACTTGTTTTTTATTCTCCAAGCTCATAAGTGGAAGGGACTTGCCTTGTCCCAGATGAAATTTAGGATTTGGACATTTTGGGTAATTCTGGGATGTGCTAAGACTTTGGAGGACTGTGGAGAAGGCATGATTTTGTTTTAAAATGTGAGAAGGACATGAGATTTGGGAGGTTTGGCTCTATGTTCCCACCCAAATCTCATTTTAAAATGTGATGTGTTTCAGCTGTGTCAGCATCCAAATGTCATCTTGAATTATAGTTCCCATAATCCCCATGTGTTTTGGGAGGGACCAGGTGGGAGGTAATTTAATCATGGCACTGGTTATTCCCATGCTTCTGTTCTCATGATAGTGAGTGAGGTCTCATGAGATCTGATGGTTTTATAAGGGGCTTTTCCCCCTTTTGCTCAAAGGACACGTTTGCTTCCCCTTCTGCCATGATGGTAAGTTTCTTGAGGCCAGCCCAGCCATGCTGAACTGTGAGTCCATTGAACCTTGTTTTCTGTATAATTTACCCAGTCTTGGGTATGTCTTTATTAGCAGTGTGAGAATGAACTGTTACAAATTGTTATCTTCAGTGCTAGAGGTGGAGGCTGGTAGGAGGTGATCGAATCGTGATGGTGGTTTCTAATGTTTTAGCACCATCCTCCTAGTGTTATCTTGTGATACAGCTCTCATGAGATCTGGTTGTTTAAATGTGTGTGTCACCACCCCCAGCCTTCATGCTGCTCCAGCCATGTAGAATATGTTGGCTTCCACTTTACCATCTGGCATGATTGTAAGTTTTCTTAGGCCTCCTCAGTCATGCTACCTATACACCCTGTGGAATGTGAGTCAATTAAACCTCTTTTCTTCATAAATTACACAGTCTCAGGTAGTTCTTTTTAACAATGTGAGAATGGAGTATCAGACTTTCTAGTGCTCCAAATAGTTACATATTATGTTCTGTTTTGCACATTTTAAACTGATGGCCAAATTACGTTAAGTAAAAATTTAGACCCAAAGGCTGACATGTACTAGAAAATTTCTATGTTCTCTATTTTTCTATTTTTTTCCCCTACTTGCTTTAAGTCTACTGTTAGTTTTCTACTGATAAAAAAAAATCACTTTTTGGCTAGGACCATTGTTTTGGTGTTTTTTTCTTTTTATTATTATTATTATTACTTGTAAACCAGTGAGTTTGTATCAATATCTCATGTCTGGAGTTCTAAAGTAAAAGCTCTAGAATCTTTGTTATGAGTGTGTATGTGTCTGTTTATCTGCACATACGTGTATTTTTTGTGTGTTATAGCTACAAGGAACCAAATTAAATTAAAGTTAAGGAGACCTCATAAATTAAGGAAATAATAAGCCTAATGGCTTTTCAAGTCCATGTGACTTAAGTAAAATTTTTAATGAATAAGCTAGCTTTAAAATTATTGGTAAAGTAATACTAGAGATGTCTTAAGAATTGTCAGCATATTTCTTTCCACTTATTGATCAAGTGGTTTCATACTTATTCCTGCCAAATATTTTTTTTTCCTGCCAAATATTGTAAGGTGCCAAAATTTGGCCTAAGGTTTGTAATACTATGAACCCAGCCCAAAACAGAATGATCTTTGCTTGTGTAATTTTTAGTAAAGAAGACATTTAATATTATTGGTTTAGTGAAAGCAACTAAATCCTGAGTTATTGGTAAAATACCCATGTATTTAACCTTAAGTTTCTTAGTTAGGTAAATTCCTGAAATTCATAGGGTATAAAAATGTTTAACAGCAACAAAAAAATAATTAAATGATGACTGTCACAGTTTTTATAAATAATCTAAGTAAACTATTAAATAAATGTATTACGTGACTATACTAAAATGAATGTCATATAATTTGGAATCTAAAATTATATTAAATAATAGATATATGTTAAATGTATGGGTACTTTTCAATTTCAAAAATTATAAGGAAACTTTAAAAAATGGTTTTTTATTAAAAGACAATTATTTTTGTAGTTCAAAGTTTATTTAAACATTATTTATAATACAAGGCAAAAGACACTAGGGAATAAGAGAGATTTAAAGAAACATAAATATAAATAGGTACCTTTGGTAAGAAAGATTACAAGAAAACAAATCTTGTACGAAAAAATAAAATAACAGGTTAAGAAGATGTATGTTTAAGACAAACCCCAAAGCCGAAGTATGTTATGAAGAATCTGTTAAGTCATAGTAAGTTTAGTAAAATGAAATTTATTTAAAAAAATGTATAAAACATATGATTAAGTAGGCTATAATTAAAATGAGATTATAATAGTCTTCCTGGTAATTGGATATTAATATTAAAATTAGACAAATACAAAACTAATGAATTGGTTATAAAAATTTGTATTAAAATATTGAGTTATTCAATGCAAGAATCTTTCAGTTTTTAAACTGTATAATCAGTGTAATAGAAATTTAGTTTCTGCTGAACCCTGCTGCTTCAGCTCTTTCTCTGTTTTGAGAAGGCCTTGGATGGTAACTCTCTCCTTAAACTTTTGTTAAATTCTGTAACATTTCTTTTTATTATTAGTCTAAAGCAAAGGAGACAGTTTTTGAAAACAGGCAAATGAAAAACATTTTTCAATCTGCCTGCTGAAACCAGCTCAGTCGTGGAGACACTAACCCAGTGGTGCTAGAGGAATTAAAGATACAAACACAGAAATATAGCGTGTGGAGTGGGAAGTCAAGGGTCTTACAGCCTTCAAAGCTGAGAGCTTCGAACAGAGATTTACCCACACATTTATTGACAGCAAGCCAGTGATAAGATTTACTAAAAGTATTCCTTATGGCAAATAAAGGGATGGGCCGAAATAAAGGGATGGGCTCTGGCTAGTTATCTGCAGCAGGAACATGTCCTTAAGGCACAGATCGCTCATGCTATTGTGTGTGGTTTAAGAATGCCTTAAGCGGTTTTCTGCGCTGGGTGGGCCAGGTGTTCCTTGCCCTCACTCCGGTAAACCGCAAACCTCCCAGCATGAGTGTCATGGCCATCAAGAGCATGTCACAGTGCTGCAGAGACTGTTTCTGGCCAGTTTTAGGACTAGTTTATGGCCAGATTTTGGGGCCTGTTCCCAACATTTGCCTTTGTATGTCTGTTATGTCTATATATTACTTGTGTCATGTGGAAGTGATATTTCAATATCAAAATATATGAAAGAGCTCTAACCAACTGACTTAAAGAAAAGTTAATTGCTTATCACACTAATAAAAGCTAGCTTGGATACCTTTGAGTTCACATGACTATAGCAATATTTGGTAACATTAATTTGGAAAATTTAATCTCAAATTTCTCTCCAATAGTTTAAAATCTGAGTCATGTTATGTTAAATTAAGTAATCCTCAGTATGGTCACTGAGAATTTAGGTTACAAAGAGTTAAAATAGTTGTAGAATAAAAAGTTTTTTTGGGTGAGGTTTATAAAAACAGAAGGATGTGATTTTTGCTATTGAAAATGTAATTTTTTTTCTTTATGTTTTATTATACTTTAAGTTCTAGGGTACATGTGCACAATGTGCAGGCTCATTACGTAAGTATACATGTGCCATGCTGGCCCACTGCACCCATCAACCCATCATTTACATTAGGTATTTCTCCCAATACTATCCCTTCCCCCTCCCCCTACCCCACGACAGGCCCCAGTGTGTGATGTTCCCCACCCTGTGACCAAGTGTTCTCGAGGCTGAGTCAACTTAAAATTTATATATATACATATATATATATATATATGTATATATACACATATATATGTGTGTGTATATATATATGTGTATGTGTGTGTATATATGTGTATGTGTGTGTATATATATGATATATATGATATATATGATATATGATATATATGATATATATGATATATATGATATATGATATATATGATATATATGATATATATGATATATATGATATATATGATGTATATGATATATATGATGTATATATGATATATATATCATATATATATATGACCAGATGGATAAAGAGAAAAGTGAAAACTCAGGAAATAAGAAACTTTTGACTCTCAGGTGGCTACATGGTCTCCCATCTTCAAAAGCTGCAGCTGGGCTGCATTCAGTTACCAAAGGTAAAAGTTACCAGTGGAATTTAGAGATGGATGATAGACATACTCCCAGGGAGTTAGTTCAGTGAATGCATAACAAAATGGAAACTAATAAGAAAACTACAAAATGTTAATTCCCTTGGTTATTGCTATCTGTAATCGCTAAAATGAAAGTAAAAGAGTGCGGAGTTTTGCCTTAAGGCTTGACCAAATTTACATGTGGACTCTCAGCTCAGGCCACTAGCTTCAAAGCTAGACACACACACAGGCACACACACACACACACACACACACACACACACACACACACACATCTTAAGCCAGGGCAACAAAGTTACCTTTGAGACCTGTAGTTACCAAGAAGATAGCCAATGCACTTAAATAGAAAAAGAAGTTAACTATTAAACCCAGAGGGTATAATGTAAAGAAATTGCTCCTTTGTAGAATAATATAATCAGTTTCCTGAGAAACGTTTACTATAATGGACTGGAAAAATAGCTACTTTAAGGGCAATATTTTTTATTTTAAATGCTACAGAATGAAAAAGCAGGGGTTTATGCAGGTCCCACAGCTCACGATTAAGCAATCACTGAGGAGTATATGTGACCCAGCTTCACAAGCAGCCCAGTGGACTGAATAATTGCCACCATAAGGTTTGATTACCCTGAGAAATGGACTGCCCAACTCACCCTGTAAAATTCCAGGTGGAGTTCCCCAGATGAAGCACCTGATATGCTTCATATGCAAACCATATGGAACTGGCTTTATGATGACCAGAATATTATTCAATTAAATATACCTATTACCCTGGTCATAGTAAATGCTATGGTTTAGGGGGACCCTTCTACCTGGGCATCCCAGGTGACATTACTCCTGCAGAATCAAAGAGCTGTTTGAGAAGCCTTCCCAAATTTGCTGTCCCCCATGGATCTTACCGATGTTATTAAAACATTAGGGTAATTAAAAAATTGGGCAAGGTAAAAGGGAGTCAAAGGACTCATCTATCATGGTGGAAATCTTTAGATGATTATTAAGAAATAAAATAAAATAAAAATTGATAGGGTAAAAACAAAGGCTTTTACAATGCTATAAAAGTGGGGTGAACAAAAGGGAGCCCCTGCTGATCTTCAAACATTATAGGGACCTACACCAGTTTTTTTGTATTTGCCTTAGATTGGATTTTTTTTAAAGCAAAGTTTGTAATCTAATGGGAAAGCTGACATTGCCTGCGCAATGTTGAGGCAAGTTTAGATAAAAAATTGATAAAAGGGCTTGAGTCTCTTGGATCAACCCTCTTCTGGGAGGGTTAATTTTTTACCAGAAAGGTAAATTGGTTTGAAGATAAAGAAGAAAAGCTCCTGGGATCAGAGCATAAAATTGTAAATGTTGAGAGGATTATGAAATTTGAGATGTTTAAACAGGTTATATGTAAGGTGGTTGTGATTCCTTTACCTAAATGTTTTATGAAAATGGGTATTCTATCTGAATGGGGGAGATTTTCCTGATGTAGTTGTATAAAGTTGAAGGCATGTAAACCTGCTCTTTGAAAAATGCTATTTGGACAGCTAAGTGAGTACTAGCTAAAGTGCTGGTTGAGACAAATCCTTCACTTCATAGCCCTTTGTGGAAAGTTTATTTGGGCTTATGGCAAAAGCCTGTGAGCACTTTCAAATGACAATTACTGGGACTTTGGACTAGAGAATTTCCACTTGAGAAGTATTTACAGCTTTGCTATGGGATGTTAACTGAAACTACTTCTATGCTAGCAGAAATAATGGTGACTGAAAGAGTTCCATGATAAAATAAAAATGGTTTATACAGAATCTTGCTACCTGGGATGCAAGAAAGACATATTTATGAACAGGGAGCCTCTTTTTCTCCTTAGGATGGACTCTGACTATGCGAGGAGCTGTTATATTCTACAGTGCTTAATAAAAAGCTCTCATATTACAAGAGCTGCTTATCTTGTGAATGGCAGTTCAAAGGTGAATACATGCCTTCTTGTTTGGAAAGCTGCTGCTCCAGTTAAAGAGGAGTCAAAGAAATATTTTTCTTTTGAGTTTTTTATAGTTTAGAGCAATTGGGTAAAATTTGCTTTTGTAAGCAAATTTACCTCTCTGAGTTCTCCAAAATTTGCAAACTGTTCATGAGTCTTTTGATTGTGTGGTAATATTGTTATTGGTATAAGTTTAGTAAAAAATATATATTTTTAAAATAGGACAATTGGAGACACCAGTTATTTTACCAAGGCTTTGACTAGAATAACGTTTTTACGTAAAGTTCCAGTAAAGCTAACTTGAAAAGAGCCTATGTGGCCAAACAATTCTTGCTGAACTTTATGTGAATAATAAGGCCAAGTATAATAATCCTGAAACTTATTTTGCACACAAATTGAACTTTTTTTTAGTATGAAAAGCAACTAGAGAGAGAGACATTGTTTCAAAAGAAAAGTCACTTTTGTTTTTGAGTGCAGGTTGAATCATGACTCATTTCTTGGCTGCAATAATCTCCTAAAGAATACCAGGTTATCATTTTTCTTCATGTTTTTGTTTGGCACCCTAATGGAATAGTTTTTTTTTTTCTCCTCTGGCACCCACATTCTCTTTTGTCAAATTATTAATGTTATCAATGTCTCCCCCTAGTTTTAGTTCTGAGAAAATCAGAATCATGCTATTCCGAAGACTAGAGATGATTTGACAAAGCCTGTTAATCTCCTTCATTTGAAATCCTATTGGGATTGATTTGTTTTTTACTGCAAATGGCCTTCTGTAAAACAATACAAGTACCTTCCCTCTATGTCCAGGGACTACCACAGAAATGGTGGGACCATGAGATTGTAAGGGCCGGTTTTGAGGGATAGAATTAATTCAGACCCTCCAAGTCAAGAAGGGGAGATAAACAGCTGGAAAAACTAGGAACTTTGCTTTCTGAGCTATTATATGACACATTTTTATTTATCCCAACCATAAAGAATTTTCTGTTTCCTGTAGAACTAAAATAAAATTATTACAGAGGGAATATTATGATACCTCATGACAAAATGTCCTGGATATAATACTCACAATTATGAGATTTTATTTAGATAGATACATATTTGAAACAATTTTTTTAAGCCACATTAGATTAAATTACTAAAAGACTTCATAAAGTCTTGCAGCACAGCAAAAGCCTCTAAATTGCAAAAAAGCATTTTTAACAATGTTCATGTATTGTATAGCTAATTGGTATAGGTCAGTAACTAAAACAAAGACTACATTAGCTATGCATATAACAATTTAAGATAAGTTAGTTTTTTAACCTCAACTTTGGCTTTCTGTTTCTTGGGTTTTATATTACTTTAAAAATTTTAAGAGTTAATTATAATGCTTGTCCGTATTCATTCCTGTCTGGTCTAGTACATTTAAGTTGACTGTAAATATGTTGGCTCTAAGTCTCTTAGCCATAGGTGTCTCAACCACAGACAGTAGGAACCCAGGGCACATGCCATCCCAGCAATGCTATGGAACAAAATAAGAGTTTGCTGGCCATTGACCTTGCCTCTGGCAAACCCTGGCAAGAAGGGGAAAAATGTTAATGAAAAATAATATTCTAAGGCCCGCAATCATCTGAATGAACCCTTCCGCTCACAAAGGGCATTCCAAAGTTAACCTGAAAAGCTAGTTCAGGCCATTTTGGAAATGGGAGAAATGAGACGAGCTCCATTAGAGCCTCCTCCATTTTGGAATTCAGAAAAAGCTGACAGCATTACATCACCACAGAACAAAATACTGATAGAATACACTGTTTAAGTTTGAAAAGAAACATTTTTTTCTATTGATTCTAATGCTTTAGACAATAAGATAATTCTTTTAACCAACTGCCAATCAGAAAATCTTTGAATCTAAATATGACCTTCAGAATCTCACTTGCAGTTGCCCCACCTTTTCAGACCAAACCCATGTATCATTTACATGTATTGATTGATGTGGAACATCTCTCTAAATTGTATAAAACCAGGTTGTAGCCTGAGGACATTGGGCACATGTTCTAAACAGCTGAAGGCTGTGTTATGGGCCATTAGTCACTCATATTTGGCTCAGAATAAATCTCTTTGAATATTTTACAGAGTTTGACTCATTTCCTCACAATAATTTGACACTTGAACATGTGGGAACTCCCAGAAAACCCAGGACCCCCAAAATGTTTCCTGAACTTGAAACTAAAGTACCAGAAGGGGCCCATTGAAGGCCTTTCAAACTTTAAGCTCCTCTGATGGAACTGGTCAGTCCTCTTGAGCCCTGGATCTCCCTTTGGTTGACAGACATCAATTTTTCCTGAACTTATTTTTTTCCTAGGAAGTTGTTGTTTAGGATTCTAATTCTAGTTCTGGGGTGCATTCTGAAGAGTCTTCTCCATTGCCTTTTATCCAAAAGATAAACTCAATTGGCTTGTCTGCACATTTGCATGAAGATAGAACTGTCATTTTATAGATAAATGAGGGACTGAGCTCCTCAGCTTTGAAGAGAAAGAACATTTTGCTCCTCCCAGAAAATGAGCCCTGGATGACCAGAGGCTAAGTGGGAACATCTAGATGTTTGACTCCCATTCCCGTTATGTGCAGTGCCCCTACAGAAGATGCCCCAACATAATTAGTTTCTTCTGTGTTTAAATGTTTTTAACTGCTGAGATATTTAAAAGCTTGTAGAATCAATCTCTAAGAAGCAGACACATCATATTATTGCAATTTTTGTAGTTCAATTTACTATGGAATTTTTATGACTCTCCATCAAGTATACCTTCATGTTCATATATTTTCCTAAGTATATATGTACATATCACTTTATGTAGAAAGTCTTCCTCAAATTAAACTAGTGAAAATATTACTTGTTCACTCATGGATAGACATAGATTTATGTATCTGGATATATGGTCTAAAAATTTCAAAGAAGATCTATTTTCATAACATACCTTATTAGGAAAGTATATTCTGATATATTCTGATACATTTTCAGAAGATACTTCATTAAGAAAATATAAACAGACTAGAATTTAGCTTTTGTAGTACATGTTGAGCATCATTATTGCCTCAGACTCATATTTATCTATAAGTTTTCCCTCTTTAATAAAAAGACATTACTATAATTAAAAGTGCACGAATGCATTACTTTTTTCCTTTCTTACACTTTGTTATTTTTTCTTTCTAGTGGCATGACTATATGTTCAAAGTTTAATAAAGTAAAATATTCAGTGTATATTCCTTTTCTAGATATTAAAATGATTTGTTTTATAACCAATTGTTGATAAAAATATTTTTTATAGAAAAGAGAACTATAAAAATCTTTTTCATGTGTTAGAAATGATCATTATGCCTCTCTTCCATCCGATTGTTCAGGCACATCTCTTGTCAGACAGAAGAACTGCTCTTAAGTTGAGTTCTTTCTTCTCTGTGACTTGCTTTGCAAACCTTTTTCTGAATCCAGAGGCTGTAATGACCAATATTTAAAGGCAGGATTTGGAGATCTTTTGCCATTTATTATGCTTTCTTCAACATAGATTTTAAAAATTATTGCACAGGATATTTGGCTCTTTATTCCATCTGCAATTTATTTTTTCATATTATGATGGGAGAACAAGTAAAATGATTATATATATTTCTGATTTGTGTATCCTCAGTATTCCCGGTATTAAAGAAGTCAGAAATGTCTGGCTTAACAAAATAAGGCCAAGAAATAGTGAGATCTTGTTGCAGGAGAGAAATCATGTAACATTATAATCTAGAGAGACTGGGCTAAACCTGCGGGACCATGTCTATAATGCCTAACTAAAGGGAACTAGCCTCTTCCTTTATTTTGTGTATTATTATCCAGTTACAAAGGGTCATTACTAAAGTGAAAATAGTAACTCAAGCATATTTAAGGCCTCATGTGGAAAACATCTTTAGTCTTTCTAACCAAGGATTTTACCAGGTTGCATAGTTTTGTATAGGAAGTCAGTTACGACCACCTATAATTTTAAAGCAAAGAACATTTCCATTAAGAACTATTTTGTATTTCATGAAGGATTTGAATTTTAAACTCCCATGTAGCACAAAAGACTTGCCTAAACACCATGTTAAGAGACTTGGCCAAGTTTAGCTTAACTTATACGTGTACTAGGTCAGGAATTTGTCTTTAAAGGTCACCCTAACTTCCATGGTAGGTCTTGGCTCTAAAGAATATGATCCTGCCAAACTGCAAAACATACACTGTCTAACCCATGTTGCCTCATAATTTTCAATTATTTCCCTCTTAATTTTTATGTAATTTTTCATTTCCATGTAACCCACTAGTTCCTTGTTTTCCTCATTTTTATTCATATCAGTTTTCTCTTTAAAAGCCTCAATTACCTTTGTCTTAGTTAGAGTTCAGTTCAATTTATACAGTAGTCTCTATCTCCTACTTCAGTAGTCAGAATAAAATCTGTCTTGCCATTTTTAAGAAGGATCTTGCTCTGTTTTTCTTTGACAGGGACACATATAATACACATCATTGTGATTTGTTTATATAGAAGAGTATTCTTTACCTACGTAACAAACCTGCACATCTTGCACATGTATCTCTGAACTTACAATAAATGTTGGAAATGAAAAATAAAATAAAATAAAAATAAAAAAGAGGTTTCTAAAAATGCACAGTAGAAATGCACTATTTCTGACCTTCATAAATAAACAGCCTGAGTTTCCAGTGCATCTCATTTTTTTAGCTTAGAAATATACATGAGTAAGCATTAAAATGGAATTATTTTAGGTTTTCTGAAATTAAAATTGTATATTACTTAATATTTAGCAAAGAATAAAATATTTGAATAAATCAGGAAGGCACAAGTCTTGTGAAATATAGAGGAGAATTTTGCCACACCTTGATGAATAGTGGTGGCATTAAATGTCATGACCTTCCCTATCATGCCTGCCTGCCTTAGATATCAAACAGTGCTACCTTCTTTTTTTTCTTTCTTGTCTTAACAAACTTTTGATAATCAAACAAGGAACATATTATGAAAAAAGAGTAAAAATTGCCTCGCAGGCCAGCACAACCAGAGAGCAGTGCTGGAACCAGATGAGGTTTTTCGCAGGTGGCGGCAAGTACTTGGCTCCTCTGTGGCGCATGACAAACTTGATCCAGAAGACTTTTTGGTCCATGGGCTTCATAAGCTGATCATAATGAATGACCGATAACCATATAACATTCTCTTTACTGCTAAAGGAAAATCAAATAGACATAAACTTATGGAATATAAAATATAAATATGTGAAATTTTTGTGTAGATGTTAACAATTAGTGCCACATAAAAGTAGATGAAAAATAAAATATTTTATTTCCTGGTGGTTATAGAGATTTTGGTTTATGGGTTAGAATTTGTTGGATGCATAAGATTTCAAAATGTGAAAAGAGAATTTAAGAGAGAACAAGTATTTCCATCCTAGAAATTAAAATTAGTTAAGTCTGAAGGATAAAAAGAAATCATTTGAGGGTACAGAGGTTGAATTAGCCATTAATGAAATTGTAACGAACCTGATGTGCGTGTTTCAAAATAGTATCAAAGTCTAGAGATAGGAGACAAATCTGTGACAAGGTTCAGGTACATGTCAGGGCAAAGCTGATAAGAAGTTGACATTGATCAGGAATTAGTACTGACATTACATCAGTGAATTAGTGATTAAAAATATAAAAGTAAATGGCCTTAGTTTGAATCATGACCTGATATCTACTGATCTTTTTTTTTTAATGTATCTGTTCCTAGTTTTTTTTTTATTGTTAAATTGAATGAATAAGAATGGTACCTTACTTATTTGATTATTGTGAGTAGTAATGTAATGATTTTTAGGATACTTGGTAGAATTATTCTCATCATTAAGAGAATAAGTAGATGTTCACTATTATTACTGTTTTACTTGCATTGTGATTTTAAAATCTAAGTGGTGCTTAATATTTTACTTTGAGGCATTGTAGTTCCATTTATTTAGAGTGTTGAAATAATTATTGACTAATAAGGAATAAGGATGAATATAAGTATGAGGCTTACCAAGTCAAAATCAAAAATTGCTAAAGCATGGCACTGTAGCAATATCAATGGAGGTAACTTCTCTCTTTGATATTTAAAAAACAGAGTAAGAAGACTATGTTTTTTTAGAGGAGGGCATTAATCCTGATACATATTTTTAATACAATTGGGAAAAACTATAACCAAGAAGTTACATAATACAAATTACCAATATAATGCATGTCATTTCATATACAATGTTCATTAACTAATTAAAAATTATTTTTCAACAGAGCATTAATTAAAATTTATTCATATTACCAATATAATAGCAATAGCATAACTGAAATTAATATATGTATTGAAATAATTTTAAAATCCTCTATTTCTGGTTTCAGACATTTTGGCTATTAAATGGGAATATTCCAATTTATCTCTTTCAAGTCAATTATTTCTCAATTTTATAAATCTTCCAAATAAGCAAAAGCAACCACAACCATAAGAGCAAGAATATGGCTACACTTATAAAGTATTTTCTTTTTTCAATAATTTTTAAAGGCAAGTTTGAAAGCTTTAGTTGCTTGCAAGTTATCAGTGATGGGATCAAAATGTAAGCATAAAAATTTGGAAAGCATTAAATATAATGGGAATTAGAGATAGATTGTCATGCTGATTTACTGAAAATAAATTATTTTACAAGAGTTTTAAAAACATGGAAAAAGGGTAAGTAAAGTGAGATGATGGACATGTTTATTTACTTCATTATGGTAGTCTTTTAACTAAGTATTTGTATCCCAAAATATCACTTCACATACCTTCAATAGACAAAACAAAATTTATTTAAAGACTAATATTTGATGAGATCTCATCCTAAAAGACCCTCATAACTGTGCTGAAAATTAGTCAGTGCTGTAATAATGTTCATGCTTCTTTCCTTCAACTTTGTTCTCAGTCTTCCTTATCATCTTCCTGTTACCATCTTCAGCAATTCCTCTTATTTCACTTTTTGGCTATTTTAAAATGTATGTACTATCCTAAAATCTCTGACAAATGTTTCCACTAAAACCACCAAAAAAACAGATTGTGATACTCACAGTGGTTTATTGACAATTGTCTTTAAGCATTACCAAAAAAAAAGTACTCAGTGCTGTGTTCCTGTTTAAAGTCACTGCTGCTTCCTTGGCCTTCATGTGAGAAGTTATCAACACATGCTATGTAGTTAAAAAAATACATTCATGAAGAGTCATTAATGACTGCTTTTCATGCATTGATCAAATCTATAGTTGACATTGTTTTTGAGTCTACTCTAACAGCTTATGCCTTAGCCTTCATGTGAGCAAACTTATCAGGTTAATTTACAAACAAAGAAGGCCCACCACAGGGATCCCATGGTAGATCCTCTCATAGGTGCCATTGGCTCCACCATGAGGTATAAAAGCTTTGGTTTTTAGATGACCTAGGATTACATAAATTTTTGAATAATTATTTGTGGTGAGTCTTAGAATTAAAATGAGCAATGCTCAATATGAGGCAATGAAATGGGCAGTGTTCTCTAGATAACAAATTACTGCAACAGTAAAACTGCATTAAAATTACTTTCAGATCTCAAGAAAGAAGCACCAAGTTCTCTGGGGCAATAAGTGAAGGCTACACATTGAAGAAGTGGTATGTGACTTGAGACTTGAAGAATGAGTACAATATTGTCAAGTGGACAAATAGAAAGAGCACACTGTGGATAAAGAAAACTGCATATCCCCTACTATAGCCCCCCAAAAAGCAGGATGCATGCTAGAACATCTACTTGCTATCTGAGTTGTAAAAGTAACTCCACATTTGCATCAAAAATATTAGTATAGATGATTACAAGAATGCTATACAGGATATAAAACTAAAAACTGCTTTACAAATATTCAAATATCAAAGTTGTGATGTACATATTAGAAAGCTAGTTATTACTATATTTTATGGTGGAAGGAGCATCTGAACCTCTCTTCCTGCCTGGCTTCCTTCTGCCCGGTATGCGATGCTCTTTTAGTTTAGCAGTCCATAGATGGCTTGTGTTAGTCAGCTCAGTTAGACACCTGCCTTATCACAGGAAAAAAGGGCTTTCTATATCAGGGGTTCTTGCCTTGGTTTATCAGAAGAATGGGATTGTCGTGCGCTTGAAGAATGAGTGCAAGGTTTTATTGAGTAGAAGTAGTTCTCAGCAGATGGGGGAGCCAGCAGGCAGACGGATTTCCCCTAGAGTAGGGCTGCTGAGCAGCCTGACTCTTCTTCAATTGCCCCAGCCAAACTCCGCATTGTTCTGCCAGTTGATGGCCTGCCTGCGTGCTCCCCTGGATGTCCTTTTGATGTCCAGCCACTTGTTTCTTCTTCTGCTAATCCACTCGTTTTGACGTCCAGCCACTTGTGTGCTTGCCTGCTAGAGTCTCAGGAGTTTTATAGGCATATGATGGGGGTGTGGCAAGGCAGAGTGATCTTGGGAAATGCAACATTTGGGTGTGAAAGCAGGAGTGCCTGTCCTCACCTAGGTCCCTGGGCACAAGCCAAGGGTGGAGCCCTTGCCAGGGACCCACCCTTCTCCTCCCTGCAGTTCCCTGCCCCTCTTCCATATCATTTCTTTCTCCTCTTCCTCCTCCTCATCCTCCTTCTTCTTCTGAGAAAGAGAGAGAAAGAGAGAGGGAGAGAGAGAGGGTCACATTGTGTTTCTGAAGTTGGAATGCAGTGAAGCAGTGGTGCAATCATAGCTCACTTCAACCTTAAACTACTGGGCTCAATCAATTCTCCTGCCTCAGCCTCCTGACTAACTAACCCTACAGGCATTTCACCTCAATGTCCTGCTTTTTTTTTTTTTTTTTTTTTTTTTTTTTTTTTTTTTTAAAGAAATGGGCTCTCTCTAAGTCATCTAGCTTTGTCTCAAACTCCTGGGCTCAGGGGATTCTCCCACTTAGGCCTCACAAAGTGCTGGTATTATAGGCATGAGCCACTGTGCCTGGCCTTGACTCCTGCTTATATCCCCCTTCTTTCTCAGATGGGAGGTAGCATCAATATAGGTGTTAGAAGCAAAGTCGTTTTGGGGAAATGTTTTATACTGTACAGGATCAACTTTAGACTCTCCTTTCTGTTACTTCTTTCTTTCAGACATTGGCAAAGTCCAGTCACCAAAGCAGTTTGGTTTTTCTATTTTGCTAAATATACTTGGCTGAGTGGGTACTTAGACTCAAGAAAGGTGAGCCTTGGGTTTCCATTCTCTGAATAGCCCTCTGAACAACATACTGAATAGGCCTATTTCAAAATTAGGGTAAGTAAAACGGCCCAGGTTACATGGAAAGCCTAAACTCCATGATACGTTTCAGATTTTTTTCAATACCTACTTCTTGTTATTGTGCTAGTGAAGTTACCCATTAATACATAACTTCTTTCTGATAACATTTATAACATTTGTAGTGTGTATTCTTCAGTCATCCTGTAAACAAAAGTACTAAATGACAGGGCAGAATTTGTTGATATCTGTTACCTGCCTCCAATATCATGATAATATCAAAATGCCACACTACACCTCCTCATTACCATTCTTTTTTGTTCTTATAAATTCAAGTTATCATTTGGTGTCATTCATTTTTTTTCCAAATTATAGTTTATAACTATTCATATTAAGCAGAATTTCCATATCATCCACAATGTTATTACAGTAACTGAAACACAAAGAAATAAGAGATGGGTGGGGATGCTCATGGTGTGTGACCTGATATACTCTAAAGTTTCTCTCTTTTTGTTTGCATCTCCCACAGGCAAGTATCAGTTCTCTCTCTCTCTCTCTCTTTTTTGTTTGAGATGAAGTATCACTCTTGTTGCCCAGGCTGGAGTGCAGTGGCGCGATCTTGGCTCACTGCAACCTCTGCCTCCCCGGTTCAGGCAATTCTCTTGCCTCAGCCTCACAAGTTCCTGGGATTACAGGCATCCACCACCACGCCTGGGTAATTTTTTGTATTTTTAGTAGAGACAGGGTTTCGCCATGTTGGCAAGGCTGGTCTCAAACTCCTGACTTCAGGTGATCCACCTGCCTTGGCCTTTGGTTCAGGTTTTGAAGGAGAGTAGACTATCCAAGATTCATTTATTGTTAGATGTATTTTCCAAAGTGTGAAAAACAGGAGTAAATTCAATAATGAATATCTGCAATCCAAAACTATTTAATACAATCAAGAATATCTTTCTTATTTATTATCCCAAACATCCCAGTTGCCTCCTTTTAAAAATTTCTTTCAAGTATTAAAACACAATTAATTCTACCTTATTAATTATCTCAAAAGCAAAAATAAATATGTACCATTCAGCATACAAAGTTACACAGTAAAAATGAAAGTGTGTATATACATATTATGTATATATATATATCTTTGCTAATTGACCCACTCATTAAATTTACATTTGGTCATACTTACTCTTAACATGTACATATAAATGTAGGTCACTGTAAATTAAAAAAAAACTAGTTCCACACAATACATGCTTTCTTCATGATATTTAAACCTCATTCAATTCTCATATATTGTAAACTTAGATAAACCCACAGTTTATTGGACAGTTAACATACAAGACAAACATCACAATTTTCACTAAAAATCTGGGCCAACTCATTGTTTATTTGCCCCTTGAAATAAAAAATAAATTAGAATTGAAGCAGTGTATTGCTGTAACTTACTTGGAAGGTAAGTAGGTTCTCTCATATTTATAGAACTTAGATTGAAGACATTACTGGTAAACTCCAATACGAGTGCTTTTAAAGAGAATTTAATCTTAAACCTTGAGACAGCGTAGGACAAACCCTATAAAATTCAGTTTTATTTTTCAAAATAAAAGATCCTTTTGAAACTTAATATCTTCACTTATCAATATTACTGCATTATAAAGCTAGTTTATATAATCCTGCATAGCATTGGTCAAAATGACAAGGCACAATAAAAAAATTAAAACATTATATGAACAAGAGAAGTCATTGAAAATAATTTAAGGCCTTGAAGTGATTTAATCAGTCTAACTTAAACCTGAAAAATAAACCATTAATTATCCACCTGAAATTCAAGAAATATGCTTTTTAAGCTTCTGTTCTGTGGACCAAATAACAGAAACAACTCTTTCTTATGGTTTATGTATTAGAATCCTTCTGGACTTGAATGACTAAAAGTCAATTCCATTTTTCAATTGTTCATGGAAGATTTAGGACTGTTTTAGCCGTGTGTGTGGAATGCCAAACTGTGGACACTGTGCAGATGCTAGTGCTCAGAAGGCTTCTGCTGCTAAGTAAGGGTGAGACTGAATCGTGCACTTTCACCTTGATGTTTCCATTATGTTGGTTGCTTCGTTGACATTCCAGTTTTTCTTATCTTTACAGCGAAGTTGTCGAAGTACACTGCACCTATTAATAATGTCTATGGTTTGTGCTTTCAACTGTTCTGCAACATGCAAATCTGCAAGGACAAGGGGATCAGCAATATTTTCTACTGAGAGATTACTACAAAGCTTCCTCACACATGACCTTTAGCTGTTCCCAGTGCATGTTTGTCTGCAGCTGCCAACAAGTTGTCCGTCATTTTGTCAAGGTTTAGTTCTTTCCCTGTGTTAATGAATGTCATCATTTCTTTAAAAACATCAGGGTCTAAATCATTTATTTCCACTCAATTCTTTATGCTTTCTTCCATTTCATGTTGAAACACGGCATTAAAAACGGGATTGAGGTACAAGCAGATTTATGAGCTTTAAATTCTTGTCCTCTCAATAAATTAGGTATTGATGGGACGTATCTCAAAATAATAAGAGCTATCTATGACAAACCCACAGCCAATATCATACTGAATGGGCAAAAACTGGAAGCATTCCCTTTGAAAACTGGCACAAGACAGGGATGCCCTCTCTCACCACTCCTATTCAACATAGTGTTGGAAGTTCTGGCCGGGGCAATTAGGCAGGAGAAGGAAATAAAGGGTATTCAATTAGGAAAAGAGGAAGTCAAATTGTCCCTGTTTGCAGATGACATGATTGTATATCTAGAAAACCCCATTGTCCCAGCCCAAAATCTCCTTAAGCTGATAAGCAACTTCAGCAAAGTCTCAGGATACAAAATCAATGTACAAAAATCACAAGCATTCTTATATACCAATAATAGACAAACAGAGAGCCAAATCATGAGTGAACTCCCATTCACAATTGCCTCAAAGAGAATAAAATACCTAGAGATTAATAACCAGAATATATAAGGAGTTGAAACAAATCTATAGAAAAACATCTAATAATCCAAGTTACAAACAAGCAAAAAATCTGAATAGACACTTCTCAAAAGAAGAGGTAGAAATGAAAAACAGGCATATAAAAAGGTGCTCAACATCACTGAACATATGAGAAATGCAAATCAAAACTACAATGAGATATTATCTTACCATAGTTAAATGGCTTTTAGCTATGTCAGACAATAACAAATGCTGAAAGAATGTTCAGAAAAGGGAATCCTTGTACACTGTTTTTGGTAATGTAAATTAGTACAATCACTATAAAGAACTCTTTGAAGTTTCCTCAAAAGACTAAAAATTGAGCTACCATATGATCTAGCAATCTCACTGCTGAATATATACTTAAAAAAGGAACTCAATATATTGAAAGGAAATCTGCACTCCCAGGTTTGTTGCAGCACTGTTAAAATAGCTAAGAATTGGAAGCAACCTAAGTGTCTATCAGTAGATTAACGGATTAAGAAAATGTGGTACAAACACATAACACTGTAATACTAAGCCATAAAAAGAAAAGAGATTCCATCATTTCTGACAACATGGATAGAAGTGAAAATCATTATGTTAAGTGAAGCAATCCAGGCACCAAAAGACAAAGATTTTATGTTACCCCTTATTTATGGGATCTAAAAATCAAAACAATTAAACTTGTGGAGATAGAGAATAGAAAGGTGGTTACCAGAGGCTGGGAAAGATAATGGGGGTGTGGGGTTTAGGTGGGGATGGTTAAAAGGTTAAAGAATAAGTAAATAAGACCTATTATTTGATAGCACACCAGAGTGACTATAGTCAATGATTTTATTTATTTATTTATTTATTTATTTATTTATTTATTTATTTATTCATTTATTCACCTTGAGATAAAACCCCCATCTCCCTGGGACAGAGAGCACCTGGGGGAAGGGGTGGCTGTGGGCACAACTTCAATATTTAAATGTCCCTGCCTGATGGCTCTGAAGAGACCAGTGGACCTCTCAGCACAGTGTTCGAGCTCTGCTAAGGGTCAGACTGCCTCCTGAAGTGGGTCGCTGATTCCTGTGTATCCTTACTGAGAGATACTTCCCAATAGGGGCTGAAAGATGCCTCATCCACGAGAGCTCTGACTGACATCTGGCAGGTGGCCCTCTGGGATGAAGCTTTCAAAGGAAAGAACAGGCAGAAAACTTTGCTGTTCTGCAGCCTCCTCTGGTGATATCTAGCCAAACAGGGTCAGGAGTGGACCTCCAGCAAACTCCAGCAGACCTGCAGCAGAGGGGCCTGACAATTAGAAATAAAAGTAACAAACAGAAAAGAATAGCATGTCCACTCAAAGACCCCATCTGAAGGTCACCAACATCAAAGACAAAAGGTAGATAAATCCACAAAGATGGGGAGAAGCCAGTGTAAAAAGGCTGAAAATTCCAAAAGCCAGAATGCCTCTTCTCCTACAAAGGATCACAACTTGCCAGCAAGGGAACAAAACTGGATAGAGAATGAGTTTGATAGGCTTCAGAAGATGGGTGATAACAAACTCCTCCAAGCTAAAGGAGCATGTTGTAATCCAATGCAAGGAAGCTAAGAACCTTGAAAAGAGGTTAGATGAATTTCTAACTAGAATAACCAGTGTTTGACTTCTTCCTGGTTTAAGCTTGGGAAAGTGTACGTGTCCAGGAATTTATCAATTTGTTCTAAATTTTCTAGTTTATTTGCGTACAGGTGTTTATAGTATTCTCTGATGGCAGTTTGTATTTCTGTGGGATCAGTGGTGATATCCCCCATATCATTTTTTATTGCGTCTATTTGATTCTGCCAATTCATAGCACATACAGCATTCTGGAGAACTTTGGCCCAGCCATGAAAAGTACTGTTACCTAGCTGACACTGTAACTATAACTTCTAAAGGCCATTTCACTATAGTACAAAGGCAGTTGCTTCAGGAGAATGAGGAACATGGTAAAACCAGTAAATTTCATGAGCATGAGCTCATTGTTGCACTTCTTTGTCAGTAAAGCCAGTTCCTTAGTCAGAAACAATACTGTGTGGAAGACCATGATAGAGAATTAGGCATCCAGTAAATTTATGGATGGTAGTTTTGACAGATGTATATGTTCAGAGAAGATAAATCCATATTCAAAATAAGTATGTATTCCAGTAAGAAAAAAATGCAGCTCCTTCTATGATGGAGGTGGTCTAAGGTAATCAATCTGCCACTGGGAAGCTGGTTGATTATCTTGGAGAATGATGCCATATCAGGGGCTTAGCATGGCTCTCTGTTCCTGCATATTGGGCACACAGTGGTGGCTTTAGCCAGGTTGAACTTAGTGAGTGAAAGATTATGTTGCTTAACCCATGCATAACTTCCATCAATGCCATCATAGCCACTTTGCTCATGAGCCCATTGGGTGATAACAGGGGTAGCTGAGGAAAGAGTCTGACCCCAGATCTACAGGAGGGGTCATCCCATCCACTTTATTATTAAAATTTTCTTCTAGTGATGTCATTCTTTGAAGAACATTCACATGACTCACAAATGTCTTCATATATTTTGCCCCCTCAAAGAGGTTTATCCAGATAGTTTTTCCTTAATTTTCTTCATCATCAATCCTATAATCCCTCACAAATCCTTAACCTTCCAGCCTAATCATTGGCTACATCCCAATGTACTATATTAAATGCAGAATCTCTACTTAATGAGACCACATATATTAATTTGGTGTCATCAAACTTCGTGTCTCTTCTATTGTTATTCCCACACCCTTATTATCCATTTTCACATATGTTTACCCGATTTCTGATTATATAAATTAGAACACTCAGGTGTTTCTTTCAGAGTGCAGTGCACCTCCTCATGGGTGATATCTTGAATCTCCCTTTAGGGACCTGCTGAGACTTAAGTCTAGTTATAGGTTTAGAAACCAAAAGGGGTCGTTAGGATAGGTCCTGAGGAAAATCAGCCTTGCTTCACCTGCCAACTGCTTCAGGAGAGGCCATTACTGTTACTTCCGGCAATGCAGTTACGTTGACATAGGTGGAAAAACCGATGACACTGTGGGAATGGGTGAGGAATGACACTGTCATTGAGGTGGGAGGTCACTTGCCTAGGCAAAGAACAAACGAACAAACAAACAAAATTACTCAAACATTAGGCTAAATGTCCCTAGCTTCATGAGGGTCCTCCCATAGATCCCCATTTCAACTTACAGGGTCCCATTCTTTCTCAATCAATGCCCTCATTTTAACAGCAGACTCCCAGTGAGGTTGAAAATCCATCTTTTCTATACGTCAGCTAATTAAATGACTAGGGTTTCTCTTTGATTTTCAGCCATTTCATCCCTATGGCTAAAGGAGAGATGCTTCTCCTTTAGGGAACATGTAGAAATGCTTAGGCTATATCCATTTTCAGCTAAGAATTTGAATCTCTGAGCTCATCCTTTTCTTTCAACATTGTCCAGCAATGTTAGCAACAAACCAACATCATTATATTTATTGGTTTTCCACAAATTTCTGAAAGTATCATGTATAGTGTCACAAAATACCCTGCCTCTTGTAAGTGGTAAATTAGGTGTATAAAATGCATTTTTTAGCATATCTTTATAAACAGCTTAGGCCAAAAACTATCTATGGTCTCTGTATTATCGGAAGTAGGGTTCTTAGGACTTTTAGGTCTAATCAGATTATACAGCCAATTCCAGAAACCCCAACAACAATTAAGGAAATTCATCCTTAAAATTCCGTTCCTCTAGAATGACTCCTGGTACCAAAATCTGTATTAGTCAGGGTTCTCCAGAAGGACAGAAACAATAGAATATAAATGAAAAGAATTTTTAGGAAAATTGGCTCAGAAGATCAATAAAGTGAAGTCTTAAAACAAGCTATCTGCCAGCTGGAGAACCACAGACACTAAAAGCCTGGCTTAGTCAAAGTATAGATCCAGGAAACCAGACAGTGAAGTCCCCGGTTTGAGACCAAAGTCCTGATCGCCTGCAGCGGGCCACTGGTTTAAGTCGCGGGATCCAGAAGATGAAGATCCTAGAGTCTTATATCCAAAGGAAAAAATGAGAAAAAAGATGTTCCACTGTGGAATAAAGAGAGAGGAGCAAAGGCATGAGCAGAGTGTTGCCCTTTTTCCACCTGCTTTGTCGTGGTGGGACCCCAGCCAATTGAATGGTGCCTGCCCACATTGAGGGTGGGTTTTCCTTTCTCAGTCCACTAATTCTCATGTCAATCTCCTCTGCAAATATCTTCACAGACACACTCAGAAACAATGCTTCATCAGCCATCCAGGCATCCCTCAATCCGGTCAAGTTGACACCATCAAATTTAGTATATTGTGAAAATTAGTAGTAATCATTCAAATTTTTAAAAAATGTTTAAGTGAAAGTTTTAAGTCCTTGTAAACCATGGTTTAAGTGACGGTAAACGAAGCACAATCATCAGTTTTATTTAATGTGAAACTGAATATTGTGTTAAAGGAAAGTAGGCTATTCACAGGTTGGCTGGGTAGCGATAAATATGGAGAAACTGGTTAGAGAACTTTCTATGTCCCAAGATGTAATTATTACCACTATTTTGAAAACTAACATGATCATGAAACTAACAAAAACTGATATTCAAGAAGAATATAATGCTGAGGATGGAAGAAAGTACTTAAGAAAGAAAGGTAAATGATGATATTTGTTTTACTGACTGAGCTTTAAAAGAAGATTTTAAATATTTAAAAGAATATTCTAAAAAGGAGTGCTTAGAAAGTACAATAATTACAGTTTATAATGATTTTTTTTTCTTTTACTTTTTCTGGGATGGAGTTTTGCTCTGTCACCCAGGCTGGAGTGCAGTGGCACAATCTTGGCTCACAGCAACCTCCACCTCCCGGGTTTAAGGGATTGTCCTGTCTCAGCCTCCAGAGTAGCTGGGATTACAGGAGTGTGTCACAGAGCCCAGCAAATTTGTATATTTTTAATAGAGATAATGTTTCACCATGTTGGCCAGGCTGGTCTTGAACTCCTGACTTTGAGATCCACCCAACTCGACCTCCCAAAGTGCTGGGATTACAGGCATGAGAAATCGCGCCCGTCCTGAATTTTTTTTCTATGCCACCAGTGCCCCAGCTTATACTGAGTGAGGCAAAACTGGAGAGGTTTGTGGCGTTGAAGAAAGAGAAGTGTTGTCAGAGTTAGAAAGTCATATTTACAAAGAATATCTAAAAATTAAGAAGAAATTTACTCAGTATGTGAATTAAACTAATATATGTTTCATAGTGTACTTTAAAAGAATCACACTGATTATGGGAATATATTTTGAATACATATGTTGGCATCAGGTGCAGAAGGTGTTCAGGAAAGTGTATAGAGGGACTGGTTGAGACAGCTTTAGACAGTAAGATGCTCACCATATGCAAAAGAATTGCTACAAGACATGAGTAAAAGCTTCCTAATCAGTTTAGGGGAATTTATGAGGTGAGAGACCATACCTTAAATTAGTCAGATTGGTGTATGTCCCAACGCACTAAGCAAGGGAAGAAGAAGAATGTGGATATGGACATTAATGGGTATTCACTCATTCTCCCAGATGACTATATATTAAATATATTAGACAGTGAAGACTGGAAATGAGGACAAGTGTAGCCTGGATTTAAAGGTTAGTAAAATTATTTCCAGATGTGGTGGAATTATTTTCTAAGCTATAAAGAACACCATTCTAATGGTGATCCATTAAACATTAACACATGGATCAACTTCTTAGAATTTCTGCTTGAAATGTTAACTTCATACAATATAGTAAATGGTCACATATCACTGTTCCTGTTATCTTTACTGGGGGCTGGAAAAAATGGGAAGAACTGGGCCTCCAGACTTTTCTTGGATGCCTCATTGTCAAATGTTAATAAAGAGCACAGTGGGACTTTGTGTTTTCTATTTTTGATGGTGCCCAAATGGTCTGTACTTTCAGATGTATTGCACATTTACATTCTCAATAAAGTATATTAATGATAAAAGACTTGTAACATGGAGAATAACTCAAGGAGAAAGTCTTTTATTAGTTTTCTGTTGCTGCATTACAAACTACCTCATTTCTTAATATCTTAAAAAAAAAACTGTTTAACTCATGGTTTCATGGTTCTTCTCACAATTTTGATCTAGGCTAGTATAGCTGATCTCAGCAGGTCCTGCCCACTTTCAGGTGCATATGAAACTATAGGAACCTGGCTGATCCTAAAAGCCGTTAGTTGCATGCTTTGCATTTGCCTGAGCCGTGTCTTTGTAGGTATATGTCATGTGGGTGTCTCTCATCATCACAATGTGTAACTGTAGTACAAGTGCTAATAGGAAAGTCTCATACACTAAAGTAAACAACATTAAGCATACTATATTTATGTAATAAATGTATGATTGTGCACCATATGTCCTACTGGAAACAATTTTTAAAATTCTCAAACTACTGCCTTTCAATTTAAGACTCTACTGGGCTACATAATTTAAAGAAATTTAGAAATTTCTCTCATGAAAAAATATACATTTCGTGAAAAATATCCATACACGTTAAATAAATATGAAGAGTGTTTTAATAGGCCCCAGATTTTTAGGACAGTCCAGATTACACCTTTTCTGCTTGAGTCACTTTAATGATGCCTCAAAAATTGGATAATTTTAACATTCCACATGAAACTTTGTAATAAATTATATATATCGCACATATTTTACATACATATAACTTTATATAAAAACTTTAAAAATAGTAAATATACAGATAATTTCTGATATTAGAGATTACCAGTGTTAGTTTCTGCCTTCTTTATACTTTCTTTATACTTCATGTTTCATACATATCAGTTATGCCGTTTTCACATATATCTTTATATTTCTAAAATTTACATTTTTATTTTGTTTTCATTCTTACTCTAATAAACTCTCACCAAATCTGTACTCTTTGTCTACGATCGACTCACTTTCACTTTTGTACACTCAACTTTACTAGTTACTCCTGGTGTATGCAATTCATGTAAAGTATGTAAAATCAAAACAACATTTTACATTTATCATACTTTATGTAGAAATTAGGTCATATGTTCTCAATCTTTGCATAAAGGATGTGTGGTGATATATTCAAACTCTGATAATACATGTTATAGCAATATATTATTATTATAATCCAGTTAGCATTATGAAGTAACATGAGGGCCTATAATATGCCTTTTAAAGATTCCTAATTATGGCACGATGACAAATTCTAACTCTAGTCAAATGAAAATAATTTCATTATACAGCAAATTTTGTGAATAAAAGTTTAGTTGATAATAACATAGATCCCATCTTATTTTGAGAGCTCAATAGCAGGTACCTATAATCTCTAAAAATGCTTGGTGTGAGAATAAAAAAGAATACTGTACAGAAACTAAAGAAAGAAAAGCTTTTTCTTCTGGCTAACAACATAAACTTTAACATCTGTCTGTATATAACAATCAACCTCAAGTATAAACTACTTACAAAGTTGAAAAAATTTGACTTGGACTAAGAAATATGAGGTAAATTCAATAAATGATAAAAAATAAAAAGCAAAAATCTTATCAGATCAGACATAATTCAGGCCAAAGTATTAATCAAGAAAATGAAAAATTTTATATTTTTAAACATACACTTAACAAAAAATAAAAATAATTATACATATGCACCAATACCTACATTTTTAGAGCACTCTTAGGCTTCTCACATTTTTAAACATAAAACTTCTCATATTTTCAAAAATAAAACAGGTTTCTTTGGGAACAGATTTGGAGCTATGTGTTTATGGCTTGACTCTCCTGGTGCAGTTAAGTCTTGACCTTGGCTATACAGCTGGGGACAGAGACAGTGACACACTTCTTTCTGAGCAACATTCATGCCTTAAGAGTAAGGCTCTGACCTTTATTCTTACTTTTCCTCTCCCATCATGGTAACTTCATCCTATGAATGAGCTGGGGCAGTGATTATTTGGTACTCAATATTCTCTGTGCCATTCTTGAGTTAAACCTCTGAGTTATGACTGTGGTTAGATGAAAGATGGGAGACCCTTCTTAGCCACACTTGTCTGGAGGAATTTAGCTTTTGCAGCATATGCCTTAGTGTGTGTAGATAAGAAATTCAGAGAGACATCTCTCCTCAACAGCATACTCTGGCCCTCAACTGGAAGCTTTGGGGAGTGGGAAGCCTGTGGTGGTGTCAGCATCTCCCTGGAGCAAAGGTAGTTTCTGTCACAGTGAATTACGAGGGTGGGCAAGTGAGCATGTTGTGGTTTAAATGCCAAAGACTCTCACTGTTTTCACCACAAATTAGTGTATTTTCTTCAGTACATGTTACTTTGTTTGTTGTATGCCTTCAGGGTTATTTCCAGAGGCATCGACTGGTTGTTTTAGAAAACAATTTTCACTAGTTATCACTGTTTCCCTTGAAATTTGCTCCATGGAACTTCTAATTCTACCATTTTTGAAGGGGCTGGTACAAATTTTTTTTGTAAAGTATCTCCACCTTCTGCATATATTTAGGAAAAATTAAGCCAACAATCAAGGAGAAAAAAACATTTTTTCTTTAAACTTTTATTATAAGTTCAGGGATACATGTGCAGTTTGGTTACATAGGTAAACTTGTGTCATGGGGGTTTGTTGTACATATTATTTCATCATCAGGTAGTAAACCTAAAACCCATGACTTATATTTATTTATCCTTATTCTCTCTCTCCTCCCACCCTCTACCCTCTATTAGGTCTGTTGTTTCTCTCTATGTGTTGATGTATTCTCATTATTTAGCTCCCAATTATAAGTGAGAACATGTGGTATTTCATTTTCTGCTCCTGTATTAGTTTGCTAAGAATCATGGCATCTAGTTCTATCCATGTTTCCACAAAGGACATGACCTCATTTGTTTTCATGGCTGCATAGTATTCCACAGTATATATGTACCACATTTTCTTTGTCCAGTCTATCAGTTATGGGCATTTAGATTGATTCTGTGTCATTGCTATTGTGAATAGTGCTTCAATGAACATACATATGCAGCTGTCTTTATGATAGAATGATATCTATTCTATTGGGTATATACCCAGGGATGCAATTGGTGGATTTAATGGTAGTTCTCCTTTTAGGCCTTCAAGGAATCACCACACTCAGTTTTCCATAGTGGTTGAGCTAATGTACACTCCTATCAACAATGTATAGGCACTCATTTTTCTCTGCAACCTCACCAGTACCTGGTGTGAGATTGTATTCTGACTGGTGTAAGATGGAATATCACTGTGGTTTTGACATGCATTTCTCTAATGATCAGTAACATTGAGCTTTTTTTTCATATTTCATATGCTTGTTGGTTAGGCTCTACCATTCTAGAGATAGAAATGGGCTAAGTTTTCATAATGAAGACAGCAAAATCAATTATAACAAAAGCAAAAATTAACAAATGGGATTCAATCAAACTAAAGAGATTCTGTACAACAAAGGAAATTATCAACAGAGTAAACAGACAACCATAGAATGGGAGAAAATGTTTGCTAACTATGCATCTGACAAAGGTCTAATATCCAGCATCTATAAGAAATTTAAACACATTCACAAGAAGAAACAACTTCATTAAAACTTGGGCAAAGGACATAAAAAGTAAATTTTTACATACTAGAATATTGCAATTTAAGAACAAATGGGACACGTGAAAATTAAGAAAAAAAAATTTAGTTGAAAATGATATTGCTGTATACCTTTTAAAAAAATCTCCTAATATACTACAGGATGATTTTAACAGACAGTTCGAGGTTACCAGGCTATGGGCTGCTTGAATGGCAAGTGACTGTCTAATGTGTATACACATCCTTTTAGGTTGGTGACAGTTTTGGAGCTAGATTGCAATGGTAGTTACACAATACTGTGAATGCCACTGAATTGTTCACTTTTAAATAGTTAAAATGTACATATTATTTTATGTGATTCTTACCTCAAATATTAAAAAAACATGTGGTTGGCCAGAGTTTGCCCAGAGGCACTGATTTGTTATCCTTTGATTAATTAAATTACAATAAATGTAATTCCTACATATTTAAAAATAGCAAATGCTGTTATTTTTATCATTTACATTTGAAACATTTACATTTTAAAAAATATGTGAAGTAATTTAGGTAAGGACTCATATCATTGTGGAAATTTTTCTGTCTATTTAATAATTATTATAATTAATGCAAATTTATTTTGCTACATACAGCAACTGTAGAGCTTTACCAAGTTAATGCATCCATCCTTTCATCAGCCACAGGAGGTGAATAATGGCATTACTCCATCTCCGTTTCACTGATGGAGAAGTTGAGGTGTACAGGTGAGGCAACTTGCCAAACCCCACATAATTCTCTAGAGGTTTTGCAGGGACTTGAATCCAGGCTAACTGGATCCAGAGTGCAGGAGCTCTTAACCACCATGCTACGCTGACTCCCCTTTCTGAGTTAGTTATTTTCAAAATGTCACATTTGTAGTTTCCATTTTCTTGTCTCTATATTAAGTGTATATTATTATGAATGTATAATTAAATTTTTAGAAATATCCTTGTAGCTATTTATCACTTCCTAACAAACTACCCTCAATCATGGGGACTTTGAAAAACAATTAGCATTTTATTACAATTTCCATAGCATGAGTGTTGGGTAGGTTCAGCAAGATGGTTCATACACAGTATTTCTCAGGTCATTACTTTAATAGGGTGGCTGGGGATGTAATCATCTGAAGGTCATTCATTCACGTACTTGGTGATGGATGTCAAAAGACTCAAATTCCTGTGGGACTGAATAATCATGACTTCTTAGTCTCTTCTTTGCATCATTCCCCGAGTTGTCATTTATCATCAGGACTTTGGGTGTAACACTGGGCTCCAAAGTATATAGAGGGAGAAAAAGGGAAAGAGGGAGGAGAGAGAGAGAGAGAGAAAGAGGTATAAGTAAAAGACATAGACAGACAGACAAACGGAGACAGACTGCCTTTTCTAACACAGTCTTCAAAACTATGCTGTCACTTCCAGTATACTTTCTTTGCTGAGAAAGCCACGAGTCTTGCCAAAATTCAAGGGGAGGGACCACGGTTTGATAAGAATGTCAAAGTGTTTGCAGTGATGTCTCAAAATTCCACAAATATAACCTATTGAGTTAGTCAACAGAAGCCTCTAAGCAACTATGAAATTCATTACATATGGACATTAAAAACACAATAAAATCCTAAAAAGTGTGAATTTATATTTTTTACAACTACTGAAACATTAAGCATTTTAAAATATTTACTCATAGATTTTTATATATGAAATAGGTGTCCTAAAAACTAGCCTCAAATAAATTAAAAAATGTAGTATAATGAGGTGATCATAAGTGACTCAACTTTTCCCACTTCTGCTCCAGACACATACACATGCATAAGAAAAAATGATGTTGAACAACATATACAGCCTAGTATAAAATGAAAGAAGGATGTCCACCAATTGTTAAAATTGGAGGGAATTCTCTGAATACATGCTTATGAGAACTATGAGAAAGTGACTTTTGGGAGGAAACCAAATGAGACATAGTACCTAAGTAAGGAACAAAAATTTACAGAGAGCAGTGACTTTTGTTAAAAAAAAAATAATAAAATATGTGTGGAACTGTAGATGTCCCTAGCCTGCAGGAGAGGAAATTTTAAATATTGTGAAGGGATGCTCTCAAAATACACAATAAATATGAGCGATAGTGCAGAAATCAACACCTGTTGAATATTTCCCCAAGAAAACCACATGAGGAAATAACCAGTTTTACACAGTTGGAAGATTTTTACCTAAGGATTGTAGGTAGAGGAAACAATCAGAATGAGACTTTGATTTTTGATTTATATATTTATTCCTTTAAGATAAAAGCTCTCTTGTTTCTAGTGGATTTCTTGGTCTTATCTACAAGTTGTATGCTTTGTTAAAGCATTTATGACCTGATTCAATGTGTTTGTCTCAATTTTTATTTCATTCTGTCCTGCCTCTTTCAACCTGTATGTCCTCATTATGATTGACTAATCCAACAGCAAAGTTTACCTTATCTGACTAAAGATTATTCGTTAATTTTTACTTGTTTATCTGACCTTTAATTATCTTTTTTTTTTTTTTGGCAATCACTCTGAGCCACTGTTATGATGAGTCAATGTTCTAGTTCTTTTATGAAGAGCAAATTCATCCTTAATAAAGTCTCTATACCAAAGAAGAAGCTATAGAAAAACATCCTTGAAAAAATCAGTGCAGTATGTGAACAAAATTTTCACTGGATCATAAACCCAAAAAGTGATTCATCAGATTAATATTTGGGAACTTACAGTGAAATCAATGATACATCTCAATATGCTTGGAATTAAAGAAAGCTAATTTCCATCATAGGTAAAGCACCAAATAACTGGCTACTCCAGTGTTGATTTGTTGGGAGTATGAATAGAGTGGCAATAGGTGAAGGATACACATGGGCCCAGCACAACGAGACTCCCTCTAACCAAGTCTGAGGATGCTACTACCGAAATAACAAATCCAACCTGCTAGTATCTCAATGCTTACTATACATTTGGACATTAGGGAAGTGACCACCAGTGGGGTGGTAAACCCAGTGGGACAACTCTAAGCTCATCTTTCTCAGAACCTCTACATGCCCCCACTTTCAAAAATGTTATTTTCAAAAGAAAGCCATGTCTCCTACTCATCCGAATTTTACCAAGATTCAGTGTCCAAAGGAACAACAACTTTTAGAATGATAACAAATGAGAAATTTGAAATTTTATGCTTTACTATTTTTCAGTTTATTGTTCCTTGGGTGCAAATATAGCTTTATGATACTGAATCAGGATCCTGTAAACATTCTTCCTTTGCCAGCTAGATGAATGCTAAGCTTCATCAATAGAGAACACTGGAGTGGTTGTGAGGTGGTAGATGCCAGAAGACACGTCCCCTCCAAGACGCTACTCTTTACTGTTATTTAGTAATTTTTACAATTATTATTGGGTTTTAAGGATTTGTATGTTAAAGAATATATTTAAGAATATTAAAGACTATACTTAAAGAATATAAGAAGGAAACTTCTAATTATCACATTTGTTTTATCTTATAAAAAACATTACATTTTGCATAGATATTAATTCAGAAAACTCCTATATAAAACACTTGTCCTTGACATCGATAGACTCAGCTTCATATGTTATTTTCATGACTAAATTCACAATTATTTCATTTTTGTCTTCAACTTCTGTGGTGCTTGCATATTTCAGTCCTTAAGGAGCATATTCAAAATTTTATAGAAAAAGATGAAGGATGAAGAATGTTATTTCAATTCAATGATTCCATGTGACTACTTAGAGTTTCTTTGTTTAATTTTTTTTAACTGCTGAGATATTTAAAATCTTGTAGAATCAATCTCAAAGAAACAGACACATTCACAATATTGACATTTTTGGAATTTAATATACTATGTGATTTTAGGAGTCTCTATAAAGTAAATCTTCATATTCACATACTTTCCTAACTGTGTGTGTACATAGTACTTTATATGAAAAGACTTCTCAAAATTAAAACAAATGAAAGTATTCTTTGATAACTCATGAATAGACATAGATTTTTGTATCTGGCTCTATGGTCTAAGAATTGCAAAGAAGATCTATTTTGGCAAGGTCCTTGGTACACTTTCAGAAGTTGTTTCATTAAGAAAATATAAATAGACTAAAATTTAACTTGTGTAGTACAGGTTGAGCTTCATTATTTCTGCATACTAATATTTATCTATAAGGTTTTCCCTCTTTTATAAAGAAGACATTACTATAAAAAGCACTAATACATTACACTTTTTTTCTTGTACTTTGGTATTTTTTTCTTTCTAGTGGCATGACTATATGTTCAAAGTTTAAGTGAAATATTTAGTGTATATTTCTTTTCTAGACATTATAATAATTCATCTTATTAGCAATTATTGCTACAATATTTTCTCATAGAGAAGAGTACTATAAAAATCTATTTCATGTGTGAGAAATAATCATTATGTCTCTCTTTCATTCAACTGTTTTAGACACATCTCTTGTCAGATGGAAGAATTGCTCTTAAGTTGGTTCCCTTCTTCTCTCTTATTTGCTTTTCAAACCTTGTTCTGAGTCCAAAGGCTGTAATGAACAATAATTTAACGCAGGTATTGGAGAGCTTTTGCCATTTATCATGTTTTCTCCAGCATGGACTTTAAAAATTGTTGCACAGAATATTTGACTCTTTATTCCACCTACAATTTATTTTTCAATATGTTATGAGGAGAGAATAACTAAAATAATTATATACATTTCTGGTTTGTATATCCTCAGTACTCCAGGTATTAAAGTAGGTGGAAATATCACACTTGACAAGGTAAGGGCAAGAAATGTGAGATCTTATTGCAAGAGAGAAATCCATGTAACATAATCTAGAGGGACTGGACTACATATCTATAATTCCGAACTAAAGGAAACTAGTCTCTTCTTTTATTTTGTGTATTACTATCCAATTACAAATGGTCATTACTAAAGCAAAATAGTAACTCAAGTGTATTCAAGGCCTCATGTGGAAAACATCTTTAGTCATTCTAACCAAAGATTTTACTAGGTTGCATAGTTTTACATAGGAAGCCAGTTATAAACATCTAGAGTTTTGAAACAAAGAAATTTTTATGAGAAAACATTTTGTATTTCATGAACGATATTATTTGGAAACTTCCATGTAACAGGAAGAATCTGCCTAAACACCATGCTAAGAGACTTAGCCAAGTTTAGTCCAGCTTATATGTGCACTATGTCATGGATTTGTCCTGGAAGGTGACCCTAGCCTTCATGCTGAGGCTTTGCTCAATAAAATGTGACGCTGCCAAATTCCAAAATTACCCTAACTAATCTTGTCTAATAATCAATCATTTTACACTTAATTTTTATGTAATTTTCTACTTCCATATAGCCCACTACTCTCTTTTTGGTTTCCTTATTTTGATTTCCTCATATTCCCTTTTTATTCATAAACAGATTTTCTTTAAAAGTCTCAGTTACCTTTGTCTTAGTTGGAGTTAAGCTCAGTTCATACTGTAGTCACTATCCCCTTCTTCAGTTGTCAAAATAAAGTTTGTCTTGCAATTTTTAACAAGGATCTTGCTCTGTTTTTCTTTTTCTTTTTCTTTTTCTTTTTTCTGACAGGGACACATATATTCCATATGAATGTATTTGTTTATATAGAAGAGGGTTCTTTACCTATGTAACAAACATGCGCATCCTGCACATGTACTTCTGAACTTGAAATAAAAGTTGAAATAAAACAATAAAAATATGATATGTATTTATTATATATAATATATAAATATATAAATGTATTATATTCTATAAAAATATATACATATATATAAGAAGAAGTTTCTTAAAATGCACAGTAAAGCAAGTCTTTCTGGCCTTCTCAAGTAAACAGACTGAATTTCCAGTGAAACTCATTTTATTTTCAGCTGAAAAATATACACAGATAAGCATTAAAATTGAATTATTATAGGTTTTCTGAAAATAAAATTTTACAATACTTATGTTTAACAAAGATTAAAAAATTCAAACAAATCAGGAAGGCACAGGTCTTGTAAAATGTAATAAAGAATTTAGTCCATACCTTGATGCATAGTGGTGGCATTAAATGGCACAATTTTTGGTATCATGCCTGCCTGCCTTAGATCTCAAACAGACCTACTCTCTTTTCCTTCTTTCTCATCTTAACAAACTTTTGATAATCAAGCATCATAGTATGACAAAGAGAGTAACAAGAGCTGTGCAGGCCAGCACATCCAGAGAGCAGTACTGAAACCAGGTGAGCTTGTGGGCAGGTGGCAGCAGGTACTTGGCTCCATTGTGGTGCATGACAAATTCAATCCAGAAGAGTTTTTGGTCCAAGGGCTTCAGAGACTGATCATAATAAATGATTGATAACTACATAACATTCTCTTTACAGCTAAAGGAAAATCAAATAGACACCAGCTTGATTAATGAACCAGAAAAGATAAATATGTGAACTTTTTGTGTAGATGTTAAAAATGAGTGCCACATAAAAGTGGATGAAAAATAAAATATTTTATTTCATGGTGGTTATAGCAATATAATGAATAATACAAAGAAGATTACTGGGACTAAGACTTCTGGCCACATTTGCTCATCTGATGATGATTCTTCAAGCTTCAGCCATGCACAGACTAGTCAGCTCCCAGTGTGACTAGAGCAGGGCTTGCTGTTTCCTCAACCTTCTTCCGTGCATAGACGGGTCAGCTTCCGGAGTGACCAGAATAGGGCTGTTGTCATCTCCACTGGCAACGTGGTCTCATTGCATGATCAGCCAGGTCAGATGGTCTGGGTCCTACTGGCTGGTCCACTGGTCCTGGGCTGCCGGTTTCAGCCAACTGTGGTGGATCCAAGGTATGATACCTGCAACAGCAGTGGGAGTGGACAAGACCACAGTATGGGGCCCATCCCATATGGGTCCCAGAGTAGGTGGATTCTATTTCCTAACCTAAAAAGAGTCTTCAGGTTTGAAAGGGTGTACTGGGTCTGTCAGACTTATAGGCATTCTTTCCTGTGTTCAGCCATTCACTTTTTGCATGGCCATACCTAAAGCCTGCATTTGTCTTCTTAAAGTTAGTTTTTGTAGCTCACGGAGATTACCTTTAATCTGCCTTATGATTGGGGGTGGCCAGCCAAACAAAATCTCACAGGGCAAGTACCCAGTTTGTTTTTTTTTGTGGGGGTGCACCTGACTCGGGGGAAGACCATGGATAAGACCTGATCCCACCTCAGATGAGATTCCTGACCAAATTTCTTCAGCAGCTGCTTGAGTGTCCGGTTCATGTGCTCCATCTTTTCTGAGCTCTGTGGCTGGTAGGCCGTGTGCAACTTCCATTTTATCTTTAATAGTCAAGTTAAGTCCTGAACTATTTCAGCCACAAATGCCAGTCCATTATCTGACCCCAGATTTAGGAGCAGTCCAAATCTGGGAATAATGCCTCCCTTGGTCACCTCTTGTGCTTTTTATGTCTAGGTGGGGAAGACCTTGACCCATCCTGAAAAGGTGCAGACAAGCACCAACATGTACTGATAGCCCCCTGCTCAGGGCAGTTTGGTGAAGTCCAAAAGCAGGTTATCACAGGGCATGGCCACTGTTTTCTGAATTCCCCGGGGGCCAAGTAGGCCCTTGTCGAGGGTTGCTCTGAGTACAAGTTAAACACTGTTTACAAACGGCTTGAGTAATAGCAGTGAGCTGTGGCACATAGAAATGATGCCCTAATAATGTCTCTAGTGCCATTTTTCCCATGTGAGTTCCTTGGTGGAACTGTTTTACAAATCTGGGGGCCAACATTTCAAGTATGGCTAGCTTCCCATTGGAGAATTTCCATCATCCTCCTTCAACGTAATTCCCATTTTCCTGGGTAAACCAAGCCCTTTCATTTGAGTGTAGCTTGGGGTCTCTGGAAGGGGAATCTCTGGGAGGAGAGTCATAGCTAAGGCTTCTTGTTTAGAAGGTGGAGTCGCCATTGCAGCTTGCTTTGCCTCTTTGTCTGTCTTTCTGCTTCCTTTAGCCTCTAATGTTCCTGCCTTTTGCCTACATTGCATTACTGCTACCTGTTTGGGGGCTTATACAGTGTCTCAGAGTCATAGAATTTCTTCCTTGTACTTTATTTCTTTACCTCCAGCAGTTAAGAGTTCTTTTTCTTTGTAAATAGCCCCATGAACATGCAAAGTGGCAAAAGCATATTTGGAGTCTCTGTAAAGATTTGCCTTCTGGACTTTTGCTAACTGGAGAGCTCTTGTCAGAGCTATCAGCTCTGCTTTCTGAGGGGAAGATCCTGTAGGCAAAGACTTCGCCTCCACTACTGAGTCCAAAGTCACCACTGCATACCCAGCTTGGCGGACACCCTCTAGTATGAAGCTGCTCCCATCAGTAAAATATCCAATGTCGGGGTCCCCGAGGGGCTGATCTGTCAAATCTCTCTGGCTTAAGAACACTTCACCTACCACATCCACACAGCATTGAAGGGGGCTTCCTGGCATTGACTCAATGGTAAGCAAGGTAGCTGGGTTTAGGGTATTCACAGTCTAAAATTATGCAGAGATTTTCACATAGGAGCCCTTGGTATCGAGTTATTCTAGGATTTGATAACCAATGGTGCCCCCTTTGGTCCATCAAAGTTACAACCGAGTGTGGTACCTGGATCGTCATTTGCTGTCCTAAAGTCAGTTTATTAGCTTTCTGTCCCAGCAGAGCAGTGGCAGCTAATGCCTTAAAACTAGGAGGCCATCCAAATGCCACAGAATCTAATTGCCTGGATAAGTACGTCGCTGGGCAGTGCCATGATCCTATGGATTTAGTTAGAACTCCTATGGCCATTCCCTTTTGCTCGTGGACATATAAAAAGAAAGGCTTCGTTAGATCTGTCAGTCCTAAAGCTGGGACCAGAGTCAAGGCTTCTTTGATTTCCTTAAAGGCCTTCTCCTGGTTGGCCTCCCAGAGGATGGTCTCCTTTTCCCCCACTTTGTGGTTTCATATAATAGCTTAGCCATGAGTGAGAAATTTGGGATCCAGATGTGGCAGAGCCCTGCTACCCCTAGGAACTCTCTTATTTTTCACCAGGTGGTTGGAGTAGGAAGTGCACAAACCACCTGCTTCCATTCACAACCAAGCCATCTTTTCCCTTAGCTTATATAGAAGCCTAAATATTGGAAACTTTCAAAGCAAATTTGAGCCTTTTTCCCTGACACTTTATATCCTGCCTTCCATAGCAGGTGCAGGAGGTCTTGGGTCCCTTGGAAGCAGTCCTCTTGAGTTGGGGCTGCTAGAAGAAGATCATCAATGTACTGGAGCAAGACACAGTAACTATTCGGTGGGGTGTAGACTTTAAGATCTGAGGCCAGTGCCTCTTCAAAGATTGTAGTGGAGTTTTTAAATCCTTGTGGGAATCTTGTCCAAGTGTACTGTGATTTACCCCCATTGAAAAACAAAACTAGCCTGACTAATTGGTGCAAACTGGAGACAGAAAAATGCATTCTTTAAATCTAGGACTGTAAATCAAGTGGCACTTGCTGGAATATGTCCCATTAAGGTATGCAGGTTTGACACCACTGGGTGGATGGTCACTGTGGCCTGGTTTTCTGAATGCAAATCCTGTACTGGCCTATATTCCCCAGACGGCTTCCGCACTGGCAAGAGAATGTTGTTCCATGGTGACTGGCATTTGGCTATGATTCCATGCTTATGAAGCCACTCTAAATGTTTGTGGACACCCCGTATGTCCTCAGGGAGTAGCGAGTACTGTCGGACCCGAACCGGAGTTTCTCCCAGTTTTAACTCTACCACCACCGGTGCCTGATTTACGCTGGCACCAGTCCAGGTGGATTACTTTCAGCCCAAACTCTGGGAATTTTAGTAAGTAACCCATGCATTTCATTTACTCCTGGTTCCGGAGTCTTTTTTGCATAGTCTCCATTTCTCAGCCTGCAGGACAGTGAGGGTTAACATCATAGCCTCTGGGCAAACTACGTTTAAAGTTACATTCCCTTGCGGCCCAAATGTAATCTGTGCCTGCAGTTTTTGAAGTAGGTCTCTTCCCAGCAAAGAAACTGGACAATTTAGGAGGTATAGGAATTCATTTTGGACTTCTCATCCTCCTATAACACACCTCTTTGACCGACAGGCCACTTTTCAGAGACTCCAGTGGCTCCTACAATAGTTGCACAGTTCTTGGATTGTGGCTCTATAGGTCAGGTCACTACTAAGTGTTTAGTTCTGGTGTCTACCGTAAAGTCCATTAGCTGGCCTCTAACTTCTAATCTGACCATGGGCTCCTCGGGTCCCAAAGAGAAGCAGCCTGGTCTGTCCTACCCTCATATCCTTCAGCCCCTGCCAGTCCAATCAGATCGATGTCTGGTTCCTCCCTGGTGTGGCAGCCACCAGTAGGTGGCCTTCCTATACTACTGCCCTGGGGTCTCTTTTCCCTCCAGTGGTTCTTGCAAAATTGGTTTTTCCTGTGGCTTTCTTTTTGTCTCTGTGTTTGCCGGAGAAGCTTTCACTTTTTGCTCAGCTCAACCTACAAGCTCCTGTGACTTTCCCTTTAACTCTGTGTTTACAGGCGAAGCTTTCACTTTGTCTTTGCAGCTGCCAGCACAGGTGATTTCTCTCAGCTCGACCTGCGAGTATCCTGCAATAAGCTGCTAAACAGGGCTGCATTCAGCCATGAGTTAACATAAGGAAATTTGGTCTGAATGCCCTGACTGTCCTCCTTGTTATTATTCTCTGGACACTCATCCTTCCAGTGTCCTTTTCTTTTGCACCGCTCACACTGATCTCTTTCCAGCCTCGGCTGGCCCTCAAATCCCTGTCCAGACTGGCCTCTTCCATGCCCATGTCCATACCCACATCCATGAGGGATGCTGCCAGCAAATCAGCCTTTTTCTCAAGCCTTCTATTAGCCTCCCTCTTTGCCTCCTGATCTTGGTTAATGTACACCTTCGTGGCCACTTCAATAAGCTGAGTAGCATTCATCCCTTTAAAACCTTCCATTTTCTGCAATTTTCACTGGATATCCCCCTGGGCCTGCTCTACAAATGCCATGTTCATCATGCACTGGCCTCACCAAGTCTTTTATAAAAATGGCTGGGGCTTTCATCTGCACCCTGATGCCCCTCTGAGATTTTTCCTATATTGATTGCCTGTCTCCCGCCTTCCCTTAAATTTTGCAGGAGTGCCTCTTGGTATCTTGGCAGCTGCTATAGTTGGGCTGCCTCATTCCTTTGGGTTCTAGTGGGGGTCCTCTAGTTTCCAGGAGAGGCATTTGCATAGCCCTAACACAACCTGACTGGAGGTGGCTTGCCTGTTTTTCCTAGCATTTCACCTTAACTTCCTGGAGTGAGGGCTCAGATTTTTCCCTCTCAAGAGAGACTGGGGGCATGTATCCATTTGAGCTTGACTCCTCAGAGGCAGTTAACCTGGGGAAAGCGGGGGTAGATTGGAACATATGGAGGAGGGGTCTCTTTTCCCTCCAGTGGTTCTTGAAAAACTGGTTTTTCCTGTGGCTTTCTTTTTGTCTCTGTTTGCTCACGCTACAAGCTCCTGTGACTTTCCCTTTAACTCTGTTTACAGGCGAAGCTTTCACTTTGTCTTTGTAGCTGGCAGCACAATTGATTTCTCTTGGCTTGAGCTGTGAGCATTCTTCAATAAGCTGCTAAACAGGGCTGCATTCAGCCATGAGTTAATATAAGGAAATTTGGTCTGAATTATCTGACTGTCCTCCAACTCAGGTCACCACCTTAAACACACGGCCAATTTTCTCCCTATCTGTAGCACATTTGGCAGGCCAGCCAACACCAAAAAAGGGCTATTCTAATTCACAGAGAGCTCTCAGCATCTGAGGGGTTAACTTGACTCCCTCAACCCCTGCAAAGCCTTTCTTAAAGTTCTTTAACATACATTCCAATGGGGTGGGTTTCCACGATTTTCCTCCCATTTCCTCCCAGTTATGATGCAGCACATTCACCTTTCCTTTTGTTTTAGACCGATTGGACCCGGTTGGTCCTACATTTTGCTCGGAGCGTACAGCCTACACTAAGAGATCAGCAGCTCCACACATGTCATTCCCGTTGGTTCCTCCCAGAACTGTCTCTTTCACACGCACTCACACACTTCCCCGCTCCCAGTTCCCTATCCTGGTTGGGGCAGTGAACCGCTCTCACTGCATCCAGTTTCCTTCTGAACTAACTTAGCGAGCCACTCTCGCGTCCTGTGTTGGTTGGGGTGTGAGTTTCATCCAAATTTGTGAGCCACTCTCACCGTCCCCCAGCCTCTCTGTGTTGGATTAGTTGTCACTCCCTGGGAGGTGATCAGGCTCCCCTTCTGTCCTTATGGGATAGGTCCTGCCTTGGGCCCCAAAACTTTACCATGGTTCTGAAGAAAGGGCGCCATTCCTGGAACCGTCCTGCAACCCCTCCGGGTTCCCTTGTGCTGTCAGGGGAGGGGCACCGGGGACGCGGGAGAACAGCTCCTTTCTCTGGGCTTAAGTTCCCTTGATGGGTCCTGAAGTTAAGGGTCTCCCACAGCCGAGGCCCCAGACCGCCCACAGGCAAAGAAGCCAGCCAAGCTGCAGTCTCTCAGTCCCATGTGGGTCACCAGGTGTGTAGCGGATCAGGAGGACCCGAGAGAGACCTTGGGGTATATAGAGGAGGATATCTTTATTGAGTACACTCAGACCCAACGGACTTACCATCCAAAGATGGGGCCCCCAACAAAGACAGCACTTGACTTTTATACACACTTTAAAAAAGGGGTGGGCTAACTTGGTGCAGGCTTACGGTGGCACGAAAGCAGGGATACAGAAGGAGAACAATTAATAAAATTGTGACAGGTTCATAACCCAGGATTACACATGACTATTGCTATGCAACCTAGATGACTGTTATCTAGGTTTTGCTCAAAAGAGCCTTGCACTGGTTTATCTTATAACCTTCACTATGGTGCCCAGACAGCTGTAGTTCAGGCGTACTCAGACTTCTCAGGACCTTTGCTGTGCTTTTTAGATAAAGCAGAAATCTTGAGGTTACTAGTTACAGAGAACAAGAATCTGTAAAGTCATACCATAAAACAGAGGAAAATTTGTTTTTCTTCTCCCTATGTTGAAGGAGTGCTGAGAGAGTCACCAGACCACATTTCTTTGGTGTGTGTCCTGGCTTTTTAGATAGTATTAAGAATTTCCCTGGGTCTGGGCTGCACCCATTGCTGCCTCTGGGACTAGTTAGCCTAATACAGGAAAGCCTATTTCTCTTTTTAATTTTATTTTTCTTTCTTTCTTTAATTTCCTGCCTCAATCTCAGTAAATTAAATTATCCTAAATGTTAACTTTTCAGGGAGAAAATTTTCACCCTTTAACTCTTTATAGAATTTAAGACTCTTAGTTTTCCAACATTATGGCACTGTATTTAATATTTTGTGGGATCTGGGCAAGGGCTGATGCAATCACATCAGCCTTTTCTTCTGTAATGTTATCAACCATCGATCCCAGACAAAACACTGCAATGCTATTTTCTCCAGAGCTCTGGGAAAATGTCCATTTCCTATGAAGAAAGAATTTGCTCCATCACAAAAGAGCAATAACACAGCAAACACTATTGAAAAGAATGCTATGAGCAAATAAGGATGAGATATCAAATATTAGCTGGAATTGCTGGAGTAGAAGCTATGATAAAACATACATAATATGAAATTTTCCAACTTAAGCACTTCTAAGTGTACACATAGTACTGCTAGGTACACAATCTTAAGCAACCAATCTCCAGAACTTTTTCTGCTTTAAAGTTAAAACTCTATGCTGATTAAACAACAACTTTTTATTTTATGGAGTCCTTTTCACGTGGTAGCCACCATTCTACTTTCTTTTCTTTTCTTTTTTTTTTTTTAATGAATTTGACTAGTTTAGATACCTTATAAAGAGGAATTACAGTGTTTGTCTTTTTGTGACTTATTAACTTAGCCTAATGATACCAAGTTTCATCCACATTGTAGCATAAACCACATAGTGTCTGTCTGTTCATTCCTTGGTAGATGCTGGGATTGTACTGTTATGAATATGGATGCGCAAATATGCCTTTGAGAGCCTGATTTTAATTCTTATGGATAAATATCCAGAAGGGGGATTGCTGCATCATATGGTAATCTTACATTAAATTTTTTGAGAAACTTCCATACTGTTTTCAATAGGACCAATTTTTTAAACAAACCTCATCACTCAGTTCCTTTGGAAGGAGTTAGGTGCTACAACATACATTTCTTCTATTATTAATGCATAGTCATGCAACTGTGTGTGTGTGTGTGTGTGTGTGTGTGTGTGTTTGACTTAGTACATATAATAATAATTAAAATAGCATCTTATACAGTAATGGGGAAAGATACTGTTAAAAAATATGGGACACAGACTCTTCATTTATAATATTTTAAACACTAATATGGATTCTTAGGAAGACTAATGTTATTTGTTTATTTATCTTTAATTTTGTATTGTTATAGTTCTGCCAAATAACTTGTGCTCATTCCAGGCAGCTTTTCTGTTTAGTCATGAGAATTTATTTCTCTGCCTATGAGCACAAAGGAAAAGTTACTTGTGATTGAGAAGACGTTATATATTTCTCTCAACTATATAATCCAACACAAAACATTTTTTCATGTTCTTATTGGACATTTAAATATTCCTTGGTAAAATTCCTGTTTAGATCTTTTAAACATTTTTTGATTAAATTATTTGTCTTTTTAACATTGAGCTGTAAGCTTTCTTTATATATTTTTTATATAAGTCACTTATCAGGTATGTAACTTGTAAATATGTACTTCAAACTCTGGTTTCTCTTTTGACCTTATTGATGGTGTTCTTTAATGTGTAAAAATTTTAATTTTGATGAAATCTAATTTATCAATTTTATTTTGGTTGCTTCTTCTTCTGGTGTCATATCTAAAAACCTTGCCACATTCAAGATTACACAAAATTTTACTTTGCTGTATATACAGTTGTTTTGGTGCTTTGAAATATTAATGAATTCATTCTTTCAGCAACCCCATGAGGTCGGTAATGCTATGACAACCACTGCCATTTCATTGGTGAGGAAGTTGAAGCAAATAAAGTCCAAGTAACTTGTCCAGCCCCACATCATTATGTAGTGGTTTCTCAGAGGCTTGAATCCAGGCCATCTGGATCCAGAGTGCCAGCTCTTAACCACCACGTTATGCTGACTCTTCTATTTGGGGTACAGATATTTTCAAAATATAATATTCCCTATTTTTCACTTATGTAGCTATATATTAATTGTAATTTTATTACAAATGTATAATTTAAAATGTTTAGAACTATTATTCCAGTTATGTATCACTGCATGAAAAATTGTTTTCAAATGTCAGGCCTTAAAATAACTGTAATCATTTTATTACCATCTCTCAGAATCTGTGTGTTGGTTGGGCTCAGTTATGTGTTCCTTCCACAAAGTTTCTTAGGTAGCTACTTTCCTATGGTGCCTCGGTCTATAATTATCTGAAGATCATTCACTTACATACTTAATGATTCAGGTTGAAAGGCTCAAAGTACTAGTGGGCTACCAGGATTTCTTAGGCATATATTTGTGTCTCTCTGCCAAATTGTCATTTATTATGGGGACTACATATTGAATTGAGGAGATGTGGAGAGAAAAAGAGACATAAAAACAAAAGATAGAAAGAGAGAGAGAGAAGCGGAGAGGGAACATGTTGTTTCCAACAGAACTTTGAAAGTTAATCTGCATTATTTCCACTGCATCTTTTTTGTTGAGGCAGCTACAAGGTCTGCCAAACTTCAAAGGGAGGGGATATTACTTGACAGGAAAATTGTCAAAGTATTTATAGTCATGTCACAAAATCACAACCATTCTAACATTTTGAAGAAGACAGCAGAAGTTATTAAGCAATTGTAAGATTTATAAAATATTAAATATAATAAAAGAAAATACAAAAATTTTGTGAATTTAGATTTCTACAGTTCTTGCAATTTTTTAAACATTGTGTTATATTTATCCATAGGTATTTTAAACATGGAACCAGTGTTCTAAAAAAAAAGCTGCAAATGAATGAAATAGCATGTGAGAAACCTGATCAATTCAAATTTTTTGAATAACACTAATGAATTAATAAAGAGATGTTAATTTTTAGAGCTTCCTGTATTGATTTTATGTATTTATTTCACAAATTAATTTTTGAACCTCATAAATAATATATGAAAATATTGTAAAAAGTTAAATGCTGCAGAATTCTGTAGAATAAAATCTAAAATTCCCATCCTTGGATTTATGTGTACTCTGCTAGATTTGTTTTTCCTTGTACAAGTTTACATATATTTTATTTTATTTCATTGCAAGGAAGGCTTTTTTTTTCTGGAAACTATTTTTTCTATTTAGCAGTGGAATAAACTGTTCCCTACAATGGCTACACTCACACATTTGTTGGAGGTATGTGTGTTCATTGACTGGAGCCATTTAAGTGCTGGAGGAAATATTCTGTTCATACATGTGCTTATATGGAAGGATTTCTGCATGACAGGTTTCTAGATGTAGAACTTCAGTTTCAAACTGTATATTGACATTTTATTTTAGAAGGTTATTTCACATTATACTCCCGCAAAAATAGATTTCTCAGGTTTTTATAGGTTGCAAATCTTTACAGCATTAATTTTCCATTGTTTCTATTTTCCTGAGCATCAGGTACTTTATAATCTTTCATATGTTTTCAGTGATTTTGCTTTGAAGTGCCTATTTATATTTTCATTAAGTTTTTATATTGGAACATTTCCCTTTTTTGGTTGGTGATTGTAGTTCTCACTAAACAATAGATATCCATCTTTTAAGTATGATGTAGAATAGGTTTAATGTGAATTAATTCAGGCTTATAAGAATGATAACAAAAATTATTAACATTTACCACCTTATTATTTCTGTTTTTCTTTATAAATGTATCAATAGCTAGATAATTTGTATAAAATATTCTCTTATCAATGCTTCCTATAATTTCTTTAACATCAATGTTTTAGTGTGTTTGTGTATAACATGATTTATATATATATGCATACAAATACAAATCTACATATATAGTGATATATATGTGTGTGTGTTTGTATGTGTGTGTGTATGTGTGTATATATATATATATATATATAGTGATATGTATTTAAATCATGACTTAGGCTCAAGAATATTTGTTGTGAGTCTTGGTTACTTATGGGACTTCTGATCAACAAAGACAACTAGGTTTCTGTCAATTTGGACCAGTTTGATCATAAAGTGCTTTCCTGATGTGCAGATTAAAGGAGGTTTATGTCTTGATTTAGCTATTTTCCACAAAATTTATAAACTTTTTGTATTCTTTGTAGATATATTTTTGTTATGATAAAAAATTTAGTGTTGCCATATTATATTTATAGGAGGGAAGGATCAAAAGACTGTGGAAAAAAGAAAAAAAATTAATCATGATCATTTATAGTTATGTAGAATAATAATTATTATTTCAAACTGTCTTCAATAAACACATTTCACGACATACCTATTAGATAGTTAAGTGATGCTGTGTTGTGTTTCAAAAGAAATGGACATGTATATGTACATGCATGTTTAACAGGATTGAAAATTCACTAAGTACCTTTAGAATGCATTTCTTATATTATCACAAACTAATATTAAGAACTTATATTTTCTATTAAAGGACAAAAATGAGAATAAAACCTATATGAAATTTAGGATTTTTTTTCTAGTTCTGTTAAGAATGATGATCGTATGTTGATGAGAATTGCATTGAATTCATAGATTGCTTTTGGCTGTATGGTCATTTTCATAAAATTGATTTTACCCATCCATGAGCATGGGAGGTGTTTCCATTTGTTTGTGTCATCTATGATATTTTTGGGAAGTATTTTGTAGTTTTCTTAGTAGCGGTTTTTTACCTTCTTGTTTGGGTATATTTCTAAGTATTTTATGTTTTTCTTTTTCTTTTTGATTCAGCTGCTGTGAAAAGGGTTGAATTCTTGATTTGATTCTCAGCTTGAAGTCTGCATAGCCAAAGCAAGACTAAGCAAAAAGAACAAATCTGGAGGTATCACATTACCCAACTTCAAACTACTACAGAGCTGTAGCTACTGAAACATGATGGCAAAGGTATAAAAACAGACATGTAGACCAATGGAACAACATAGAGAATCCAGAAATAAAATTGAATACTTATAGCCATCTGATCTTTGACAAAACAAACAAAAACATAAAGCGGAGAAAGGACAGCCTATTCAACCATTGGTGCTGGGATAATTGACAAGCCACATGTAGTAGAATGGTACTGAATTCACATCTCTCACCTTATAAGATAGATGAAGGAATTAAATCTAAGACCTGAAACAATAAAAATTCTAGAAGATAACATCAGAAAGTCTTTTCTAGACATTGGCTTAGACAAGGACTTCATGACCAAGAACCCAAAAGCAAATACAACAAAAACAAACATAGATCGACGTGACTTAAACTAAAAATCTTCTGCACAGCAAAAGAAATAATCAGCTGAGTAAACAGACAACTCACAGAGTGGGAGAAAATATTCACAAACTATGCATCTGACAAATGACTAATATTCAGAATCTACAAAGAGTTTGAACAAATCGACAAGAGGAAAACAAATAATATGATCAAAAAGTAGGCTAAGATCATGAATTGACAATTCTCAAAAGAAAATATACAAATGGCCAACAAACAGAAAAAAATGCTCAACATCACTAATTATCATGGAAATGCAAATCAAAACCACAATGCAATACCACTGTCCTCCTGTAAGAATGGACATCATTAAAAAACCCCAAAATAATATAATATTGGCATGGATGTGGTAAAAGGAAACACATAAACTAGCACAACCACTACAGAAAACAGTATGGAGATTCCTTAAAGAACTAAAAGTAGATCTACATTTTTACCCACCTATCCTATTACTGGGTATCTACCCATAAAAAAAGAAGTCATTATATGCAAAGACTCATGCACACACATCTTTACAGCAGTACAATTCCCAATTGTAAAAATATGGAACAAACCTAAATGCCCATCAAGCAATGGGTGTATTAAAAAAATGTGGTATACACACACACACACACCGTGGAATACTACTCAGCCATAAAAAGGAACAAAATAATGCCATTCATAGCAACCTGGATGCAGCTGGAGACCATTATTCTAAGTGAAGTAATTCAGGATTAGGTAACCAAATATTTTAACTTCTCACTTACAAGTGGGAGCTAAGCTATGAAAATGCAAAGGCATAAGAATAATACAATGGACTCTCAGGACTCAGGGAAGGGTCAGAGTGAGAAGAGGGATAAAAGACTACACGTTGGGTGCTGTGTACACTGCTCGGGTAATGGGTGTGCCAAAATTTCAGAAATCACAACTAAGGAATTTATCCATCTAATCAAACACCACCTGTTCCCTAAAGTCTCTTGAAATAATTTAAAATGTAAGAATAAAATCGACCAGATGAATATTTTTAAATGACCAGAAAAAAATGGGTAAACTGAGGCTCACGGTGAAAGACTGGCTCAGCAGAAGGGTGGGACTGGACCCCAGCTTTCCTGACTTTTAGCCCCGTGTTCTTTCCACCACTCACTCACTCATTTCTTCATTTTTAATTTGTTTTATTTTTTGGACAAACATGTATTGATTTTCTTGGTATCATATGGAAAGTCTGAATTGGTTCATAGAGCAAAAGACTTTGTAAAATAGTTCAATATTACCGTAGGAAGCAGGTAGCAGTTGCTGTATTTCTAATTCCATATACATTCCACTGCGAAATGACTAAAGCTCTAAAAAGTTAAACATTTTGCCATAACTTTTAGGAAAAAAACTGACACTTAAGCAGTATGCACCGTAAGAGCCAAGCAGCAGTACTCATCTCAAAATAGCAAAAGCAAGAGAGACATTTTTTATACAATTCAATTGTTTAACAGTTCCTTTAGCAACAGTTAAAATATGAAAATCCTGCTTAAAATGAAGCCAAAGTATTCTGAGTATTTGCAAAACAGTACCGATACTCTTAATACTCTTGTGTTTAAGTACAATATGTGAAATGTACTTAAGCTCAGTAAAAATGTTTTCATGTAACCTGTGAATGGGAGCAACACATTTCAATATAAGCTCGACAAATTTAAATACAAGTTCATATGGCTTTATACTATTTTATAATTTCGCTAGTACTTTCCTTCTCAACAAAAAGTATTTCTAAGGTATTAAATCTCTGAAAAACAAATTTTTATTTGACAAGGTAAGTAAGTTTTGAAGAGATTTTCTGTCACAGAAAGAAAGGAATCTTGCTTCATAACCTTTCTTGTTAGAATAAACTGAAGAAGTCTCGTCTATCAGGTTTCCTAGCTTCAAGCTTCAAATACAACTACAGCTAATCTCTTTTTCCCTTCTTTCCAGTTCTAGCAAACTTCCAGACACAAAACATACAACATTTTGTGATGATAAATATCACAGTTGCCACATAGTCCAGCAGGAACCCAATCATATCCAAAGAGTGGTACTGGAACCAGGTGAGGTCACGGGCTGCAACCTGAAGGTGTTTGGCTCCTTTATGGCACATGACAAATTCAATCCAGAAGACTGCTCGATCCAGGGGCTTCACTGGTTGATCATGATAAATTCTTGATAACTTTATAATGTTCTCTTTATATCTGAAGGATAAATGTAGAGATACCAAAATTGAAAGTAAGTTAATTTGCTTGAGCATATCAAGTCCATATAAGGTTTTTATTTTGCTTATTTATTTATTTATTTATTTACTTATTTATTGAGATGGAGTCTTACTCTGTCGCCCGGGCTGGAGTGTAGTGGCGCAATCTCGGCTCACTGCAACCTCCGCCTCCTTTGGGGTCAAGAGATTTTCCTGCCTCAGCCTCCCGAGTAGCTGGGATTACAGGCATACACCAACACACCTGGCTAATTTTTACATTTTTAGTAGAGACGGGGTTTTTCCCTGTTAGCCAGGCTAGTCTCAAACTCCTGACCTCAGGTGACCCATCCATCTCGGCCTCCCGAAGTGCTGGGATTACAGGCGTGAGCCACTGCATCCAGCCCATGAAAGGTTTTTAAAGTGTCAAATGATTCAAAGTAAATGTCATAGAATTGACATAGAATTTGAGTAATTTAATTTGAATCATCATAGAAACTTTGGCTTTTAAATTGGAATTTTATCATTGACAAATATTTTTAAGGTAAAAATGGAAAGCCAAGTGAGAAAACTAATTTCTTTCAGGCAAAGCAAATATGAGCCATTTCATTATTATTTGTTAGTTTGTTAATTTTCAGTTTTTTTGGGTACTTAGTAGGTGTATATATTTATGGGTTGAGTGAGATGTTTTGATACAGGCTGCAATGTAAAATAATCACACCATGGAGAATAAGGTATTGTTCCTTAAGCATTTATCCTTTCTGTTATGAACAATCCAATTATACTCTTTTAGTTCTCAAACAGGCAAATGAGAACGTGCTCAACATTGTGAGCAATTTTAAGTCCTTTAGGAAAGATAGTGAAAATACAATTATCATTTTTAAGTTCCAAAAAGGAATTGTGTCATGGTGAGTGAAATGCCTCATAGCTAGTCACTCTGCTTCTACCCTACCCTTTTCTCTCCTACTGTTTCCTACCCAGCAGCCAGAATTATATTTTTGAAATAAAAGTCAGATTTTGCCACTCTCCTGATTAAGATTTTTGCCTGACTTCTTATCATATTAAAAATAAAATCCAACTCTGTTATTTGGTCTACAGGACCCTGCAATGTCAAACACTGGCAAGCTCTTCTCCTAACACTTTTTCCATGCACACTAGGTCTTCTAGAGACATTGCCCTTCTATTTTTCTTTAAGTTCCCAAAAGTATCCTCACCATAGCATCTTTAAACATTTTGCCCCCTCTGTCACACTCTTGGAGCATTCTTTCTTGCAACAACCCAAGGCATGCTTCTATCTCTTTTTGAGGCTTCCCTCTAAGTGTTACCTCTAAGCGAGGTTTTCCTGGCCACACTATGATGGAACCTCTAGGATTTTCTCTATTGTTTTATGCTTATTTTGATATTTGATTCCTAGAATTTTAAATACATTATATAACTTATAAAATAAATCTTTGAATATTAAAACCAAAAGATAAATATACACACACTAAGTGAATAGGTCACAAGTATTAGATCATCTTGAACATTATCTTGAAGAGAAGATACCAATTTCCCTACTGTTCAGATCATGATATATGATACCACAACCTGTCTAGAATAACTCTCTTTTCCTGAACCATTTAGTCACTACTTTTATCCTTCAGTTAAATATTAGTCTGACTTCAAATATAATACATTAGTTTTCTTTATTTATGTAATTGAATTATATAACATACATTCATTAGAGTCTATTTTTTAAAATTTTGTATAGCAGTTGTTATTTAATTCCATTGCTGTGTAGTATTTTGTTGATTGCTAAACCACAGATTATGTCATCATTTTATGACCAATAGACATTGGGGTTGCTAACGATTTTTGAACAATATTAATAATTCTGTTATAAACATTGTTGTATATGAAATGCAAGAGTTCTGCGCCTCCCCTCACAAGATGTGCGACAGCTGTGTGGCTCATCTGTTCAGCCCCCATTCATGTTCAAGCCCGTTATGGGAGGGGGAGCATGCAGACAGGCAGGTGCGGGAGCCTGGGCAAGCGCCCCTGGACTGTGTTCCCACGGCAGCATCCAGGGGTGGTTGTCTGCAGCTCCTGAAGCCCAAGTGGGTATGTGTTAGTGTACTCTTTTAGCCTTGCCATGTACTGATGGCTTAAGTGTTAACCAGTTCAGTGCCCTGTTAGTACTCAGGTCCTTGTCCAGCATCCAGGAAGAATCAGGTCGCACACGGACTTGAAGGATGAATGCATGGGTTTTATAGAGTGGTGGAGGTGGCTCTCATTGAGATGAATGGGGAGCTGGAATGGTGATGGAATGGGAAGATGATCTTCCACTGGGGTTTGGCCATCCAGCATCCAATCTCCTCTCTTTTCCAACTGTCTCCAGCTGAACTACTCTTGGCATTCAGAAACTCCTTCTCTTCTCTCTGATGCACCATTCTGCCATCCTTCTGCTCTTCTGTTCATGCTGGGTGTTTGGGGTTTATATGGGTACAGAATAGGGGGGCATTGTGGGCCAAAAGGCAACTTTTGGGGGCTCAAAAACAGAATGTCTGTTCTCATTTATGGCCATGAGTTTTCAGGCTTGAGGGTGGGACCTCTGCTGGGGAACTGACCTCTTCTACCCAGTATTTTCCTGTTTCCTGTCCATGTCATATATAGCACAAGGTTTACATATTTATACATATCTGTTGGGCATATAATTAAAAGTAGAATTGCTGAGATAAAAGTGCATGCATAATTATCATTCACTTCTTGACTTTTTTTTTATTTTTAATTCTTTAAACTTTTAAATTTATTTTTATTTTTATTTTTTTGAAACGGAGGTTTGCTCTTGTTGCCCAGGCAGGAGTGTGATGGCATGATCTTGGCTCACTGCATCCTCTGCCTCCGAGGTTCAAGCGATGGCTCACGCCTGTAATCCCAGCACTTTGGGATGCCAAGGCGGGTGGATGATCTGAGGTCAGGAATTCGAGACCAGTCTGACCAACACAGTGAAACCTCATCTCTACTAAAAATACAAAATTGGCCAGGCATGGTGGTGCATGCTTGTATTCCCAGCTACTCAGGAGTCTGAGGTGGAGCTTTAAATTTTTTGAAGTGTATATTTTTAATTTCCAAAATTAAAAGTATTTTAGTTATCATTTTTCCAATATCCCTTACTTCCACTTAGGCTGAATCATTTACTCTTTATGATATTGAATCTTTTCAAATTTACTGAGTCTTGATTTATGGCCCACCACAAGTCACTTCAAATAACTATTAATAATTCAACATGCTCTAAGAAAATGTGTCTTCCAGTTGACATATATAGTACATATGTGTGTGTGCATATATATATATGTATATATATGCGTGTGTGTATCATGTTACATTATAAGTTTCCATTTGTTAACTGTGTTCTTCTAACGTTTTATGTCCTTATTCATTATTTGCTTCTCTTTTTAAAGTCTGTTTAGATTTAATGGAAGTATCTGTATATTCACATTTAAATAAACCACGTTGTTTGATGTTTCTTTTATATTGGTCCAACCTGTTTCATGGTACAACCTGTTTTAAAAGTATTCCTTTAGGTGACATCTTTCTTACATAAAAATATTATTGACAGCAGTTATAAATGCTGAATGGATGGTAGCTGGACTGGGTAGGCATTTTGCACATTGCATCCTATGGAGTATAAATAAATCAATTACTAAAAATTTAACTTATTAAAATTAAAATTTTTGTTCTTCAAAAACCATCAACAAAAAAGTAAAATGTTAGCACACCCAGAATGAAACGAAATATTTGAAAATTGTATATCTGATATAAGATTATATCCAAATATAAAATAGTTCTTAATACTCAATAATAAGATGAGTAGCAAAATTTAAAAATGTTCCAAGGATTGGAATAGGCATTTTTCCAAAGAAGAGATATGGTCAATAAGCACATATAACGATGCTCAACATTTTTAGCCGTAATCCACCTAAAATCCAATCCAAAACCACAATGAAAGATCATTTCACACTCATTAAGAAAGCTATAACAAAAAGATAATAACAGGTGTTGGCAACAATGTGGAGGAATTTGAACCCTCTTGTACTGTTGGTGGTAATGACAAATGGAACAAGTACTTTGGAAAACAGTTTAGCAGTTCTTCATAAACATGCAGTTCCCACATAAGCCAGCAATACCACTTATAGTATCAACCCAAAAGAAAGAAAAGCATGTTTATGCAAAAATATGTGCAGCAATGTTCCTAATAGCCACAATTGGAAACAATCAAAAGGCCAACGAACTGATAAGTGAACAAATAAAATATGACATATCCATACTGTAAAATATTATAGTGCTGTAAGAATAAATGAGGTATTAATGTACACTACAACATGAATTAATCTAAAAACTATTTTAAAAAAACAAAAAATTATGCTCAGTGAAAGAAGTCATTTACACAACACCCCAAACTGTATGATTCTCAATGGCTTCATGACTCATAAGCATTCTAAATATATTGGAATTTTACACTTTAAATAGGTGGGTTTTAAGTCATGGAAATTATATCTAATTATCAAGCCAGTTACAATAATGAAAACAATAAAAATGAATTTTTCAGCAAGAAAACAGTTATACTGTTAGACATTTTAGATATTTAATTAAAGTATTTTATCATATTTCTTCAAGTTTATCCTTCCTTTCTACTGTGGATTGATCATATAATTTCTTTAAAACTGTCTTTTTTATATTCTCTATATTACTTTAAAATTATTTTTGTGCAGAAAATTGTTTCACTAATTGGATACCCATTAAATGTGTGGAGTTGAAAACACAATTCTTTAATAACTGCTCAAAAATAAAAGAAGATTTCAGATTGGTTACATCATTTAAATTCTTTCAAAATTAGTCTCTTGAAAAAAGGATGAAACTCATACTATTGAGAAGATAAGGTATCTATAAATACCACCTAGTGAAAAAATATTGTTATACTCACAAAGGGTCATTAATTATTGGCTTCATGCATTGAACAAGTCTGTACTTGACATCGTGTGGAAGTCCAATCTAATAGCTGTGCCCTTGGCCTTCATGTGAGAAATGTTATCAGGTTGATCCGCAAACAGTGGAATCCCCATTATAGGAATCCCATGGTAGGTCACCTCGTAGATGCCATTGGATCCACCATGAGTTACAAAAGCCCTGGTTTTTGGATGACCTAGGATTGGATGAATTTTAGCAAAATTATTCATAGGAATAAAATGAGAAATGCACAACTAAAGACTCAAGTGACAGTATTTTCTAGCTAAAACATTGAACTAAATTAAAATTTCTGTTTCAGACTTCAGAGGAAGGAGCACTTATGCTGGAGATGTAAGTGAAAGCTGTATGGTGTGTGTGACTTCAGACTGAAAAATAGTTAAACAAGATTACCAGTTAGACTAAAGAAAAAGCGCAATCTAAATAAAATGTGCAAAAAAAAAAAAAAAAAGAGCAGCAAAGAAAAGAGATGGACATGTAAGAATGTGTTCTCCTAAGTGCAGTCATAGAATGTGATATGTGAGATGTGCAAGGCAGCAGGCAGTGGGGTGGTGGTGGTGCTAGGATTGAGGAAGGACAGGTCACACTTCATCACAAAATGTGTCATCACTTTATGATTAAGATTAGGAATTTAATACTACAGAAAATGCAGAGTCACTGGTGATAGCAGAAGAGCTGTTATTTTTGAAATAACCCTGCATAAAAAGAAAGAACAAGTGTAAAGTTATAGAAATAGGAGACAAAGACGATCTATGAAGTTACAAAAAATTCTGTGAGACATAATAACACCTGAAATAAAAATACTCTGATTCTGACCATAAAGAAGGTGAATGTATATCATAAAATGCCAACAATTATAGCTTATTATTTTCCCCATAGGACTGCAAAATAAATATAATGTAGTTGCATTTTATTTTTAAGTTTTTCCATAATGCATTTTCAATAAGCTTATTTCATGATTAATTATTAATACTCTAATGGGATATTACTAATACATTCAGTATTTGTACTCCAGAGTCATACCAAGAAGGTCATTCTGTGGTATCCACTTGTACACCCAAGTATTGAGTCCTAAAGCATGTGGTTTATTTCCATCAAATCTCCACAGAACCTGTTACAGTAAAGAAAATGTCTTATTCCATGAGTAGAACTCCAAAGTTATAGAATGTTAGAACTCTAAAGAGATTAAGAATGAGAGCAGGGGATGTTAGGTAATAAAACTACTCAAAGACTGATGTAAACAGAATGCTAACATTTCATTTTCTTAACTTTTATAATTAGTTAAGTATATAAGGAAATCAAGATTTTCCAAATAATAGCTTAGAAAAATGAGATTATCAATGAAAAGTTGAAGTATTTAAAAAATTGTTATGCTTTTCAAAAGAAGACCTACGTGTGGCCAACCATCACATGAAAAAAAGCTTACCATCACTGCTCATTAGAGAAAAGCAAATCAAAATCACAGTAGATACTATCTTGCACCAGTCATAATGGGTATTATTAACCCAAAAGATAATATATGCTAGTGAGATTGTGTAGAATAAGGAATGCTTATACTCTGTTAATGGGAGTGTAAGTTGGTTCAACCATTGTGGAAGACTGTGTGGCACTTCCTCAAAAACCTAGAGGCTAAAATACAATTCAACTCACCAATCCCATTAGTGGGTATATATCCAAAGGATGATGAATCATTTTCTTATAAAGTCACATACACGTTTATTAATAGCAGTAGTATTCACAATAGTAAAGACATGGTATCAACCTTAATGCCCATCAATGATTGACTGAATAAAGAAAACACAATGGGGTTCATATACACCGTGGAATATTATGCAGCCATAAACAAAAAACAAGATTTTGTATTTTACAGGGACATAGATGGAACTGGAGGCCGTTATCCTTAGCAAACTAGCATAGAAACAGAAATCCAAATACCACATGTTCTCACTATAAAGTGGAAACTAAAAGATGAGAACACATGTGTTGGGAACAGGCCTCCCAAAATCTGGCCATAAACTGGCCCCAAAACGGCCATAAACAAAATCTGTGCAGCACCGTGACATGTTCATGATGGCCATAATGCCCATGCTGGAAGATTGTGGGTTTACCAGAATGAGGGCAAGGAACACCTGTCCTGCCCAGGGTGGAAAACTGCTTAAAGGCATTCTTAAGCCACAAACAATAGCATGAGCAATCTGTGCCTTAAGGACATGCTCCTGCGGCAGTTAACTAACCCAACCTATTCCTTTATTTTGGCCCATCCCTTCATTTCCCATAAGGGATGCTTTTAGTTAATCCCATTTCCCATAAGGGATACTTTTAGTTAATTGAATATTTATAGATAGAATGCTAATGCCTGGCTCGCTGTTAATAAATACGTGGGTAAATCTCTGGGGCTCTCAGCTTTGAAGGCTGTGAGACCCCTGATTTCCCACTTTACACCTCTATATTTCTGTGTGTGTGTCTTTAATTCCTCTGGCACCACTGGATTAGGGTCTCCCCGACTTAGCTGGTCTCGGCACACATGGAAACAGAGCAGGGAACAACATACACTGGGGTGTATTGGAGGCTGCAGGGCAGGAGGAGAGAGAAGATCATGTAAAATAACTAATGGGTACTGGTCTTAATGCCAGGGTGAGAAAACAATCTGTAAAACAAACCCTCATGACACAAGTTTATCTATGTAACAAAGCTGCACCTGTACCCCTGAACTTAAATGTTAAAAAATAAAATTAATTTTAAACACATAATTCTAAAAAATTATATGTATAAAAAATTTAAATAGTCATTATAATTCTAGTGAGAAAAAGCAGTAACAATCTAGTATTGACCTGTGTTATTTTATGTATTTATACTAGTTTTCATCTTCCAAATTAAGTATTAATTTATTCATTTTTTAGTAACATGGGAAGTAGTTCATGTATTTCTGCTTGTCTGTAAGTTATTATATTAGAGTCTGGTGTCCTCTGATTGATAAAAATGCAAGTAGATAAAATAAGCTACTTATAAGAAATAAATTAATGCTACAAAGGTAGCATGTATAAGTTCTTTGGAATTATGAATTATCAAGCACTACTTCCAGGAGAAATTTCAAGGGAAAATTTTTGAGACAAATTCAGACTATTATCAGTATTGCTAATTTTGGTTGTTTTTTCAGCACTGAAATAAGGAATCTTATTCATAAATAAAGATATAGCTGTTGAATAAATTCAAAATTGTATTTTTCTGAATTTGGTCAAATGATTGTTAACACTTAGACAATGTGCTACAAAGCTTTGACAATAGTGATTAATATGTTCTATTATAGCCAAGACATTTTTATGTTTAAGTTACTAATTTTGGAACTCCCAAGCAATCCTCATCAACTGAAGAATAATTTACAGTGTTTAACTTTTACTTGTTATATCAGTATTAAAATAACTGAGTTTTCAGCAAAAATGTTAGTATAGGTCATTACAAGAAGACTATATCAGATAATACGGAACTAAAAAGTAATTGACAAATACACCTATGTCATCATTTTATTCTATATAAAAGAAAATATGTTTCTACTATGTTCTACGGAGGGGGCATCTGAACCTGTTCCCCTGCCTGGCTTCCTTCTGTTTGACCCTTTCCTATATTTCCTTCTGCTGCCTCCACTGGGTGGAGTTGTTAATCTCATAGTTAGGGCTGCGTCCTTGTGGGGCCACATTTTATACAGCATAGGATTCACCTTCAGGTCAGGATCTATCTCCATCCTTTCTCTTTAATCTTCCTGTTTCAGACACTGGCTGGGCCCAGTCCAGCAGGGGAGGCTGCTTTTTTTCTCTTTCTCTAAATCTACCTGGCTGGGTGGGAACTTGGACTAATCTGTCAACCTAGGCCATTCTTTCTCTGAATAGTACCCTGAACATCACTCAGATAGGCCTATTCCAAAATGTAGAGGAAGTATACGAGGCCGGATTACATGGCAAGCCTAAACTGCATGATGCATGTTAGACATTTTGAAATACCTGCTATTGTTATTGTGCTAGTGAAGTCACCCATTAAAATGTAACTTCTTCTGATAACATCTGTAGCATGTACAATGTCCTTAGGAATCCTTAAACATAAGGATCAAATAACAAGGAAAGAATTTGGTGATATCCTGACCCCAATATCATGGTAATACCAAAACTTTACCTACCCCTCTTAATATATTTATTCCTGATCACAATATTAGTGCCAAATGTATTTATCCATGAATATACCCTTTGTATTATTTTAGCATCTTCCATGTATATTTCTGATCTTGAACTAATATCTGATAATTAGTGCTTTCCCAACAGCTACATTTCTAGGCAGGAAATTTCTATAATTGGATTCTTTACAGAATTTAACAGCCTCTTTTAGTAGTTTTCCATACCAGTAAGGCACTTTATCTATCTTTCTGCGGCATCTTGGCAAGAGCTGATGCAATTATATTGGTCCTTTCTTCTTTCATGTTACTGACCATTAACCCCAGAGAAAACACTACAACACCATTTTCTCCAGAGCTCTGGAAAAACTCTTCCATTTCCTGTGAAAAAAGAATTTGTTCCATCACAAAAGAGTAACAGCACAGCAGGCACTACTGAAAAAATTGGTACAAATTACTAAAGAGAGAAAATCAAGTATTAACAGGAATTATTGGAGTAAATTATGTCTTTTAACTGACTCAGTCACTCAGTTTCTTATCAAGACAATGTATAATATGAAGATAGCTGGCCTCTACTAAGGGTATTCATGTAAATATGTGTATGCATGCAGCACACGATGGTTTTGAATACGGCCCAACACAAACTTGTAAACTTTCTTAAAACGTTGTGATTTCTCTTGCTATTTTTTTCTCAGCTCACCAGCTATGGCTAGTGTTAGTGTATTTTAAGTGTAGCCCAAGGCAATTCTTCTTTTCCCACTGTGGTCCAGGGAAGGCAAAAGATTGGACACTCTTGGCCGGGCGCTGTGGCTCACGCCTGTAATCCCAGCACTTTGGGAGGCCGAGGCGGGCGGATCACGAGGTCAGGAGATCGAGACCATCCTGGCTAACACGGTGAAACCCCGTCTCTACTAAAAATACAAAAAATTAGCCGGGCGTGGTAGCGGGCGCCTGTAGTCCCAGCTACTCGGGAGGCTGAGGCAGGAGAATGGCGTGAACCCGGGAAGTGGAGCTTGCAGTGAGCCGAGATCGCGCCACTGCACTCCAGCCTGGGCGACAGAGCGAGACTCCGTCTCAAAAAAAAAAAAAAAAGATTGAAAAGATTGGACACTCTTGTTCTATAGGTATATTTTGTGCTTACCATGAGGATTGTATAAAAAATTTTATAATAAACATTGTGTAATAAAAATATTTTAAAAAATAAATACATAAATAAAATAGAAATAAAATAAAAATATAGAATTAAATTATTTTACATAATTAATGAAAAATAATTATAAATTATAAAAAATAAAGCATAAATAAATAATAAATAACATTAAAATATTTTAAAATAACAGTCCATTTTAAACCAAAAAAACCTTTAATTATATATGAAAACTGTATTTCTTTACATCTCCCATTTCTACTTTATGTTAGTAATATCACTAGTTATATATTTTATCTTCTGTCCCAATTAATATAAATGTAATGTTACTTTTATGCTTTTCTCTTTTAAATTGCATATCAGAATTAAAATTAACTTGTGCATCAACATTAAAAACTTATGTGACTTTATATTTAATTATTTATTTATCTTTACCAGATAGATTTATACTTTTACATTCATTCATTTTGCTACCTAGCCTCCCTCATTTCAACTTGAATGACTCCTTTTTGCTTTTCTTGTAGAACGGGTGTGGTAATAATTACCTTCTTCAACCTTTTTTTTTAACCTGAGAAAATATTCCATTTTCCATTCTGAATGACAGGTTTGCCAAATGAATGTCTTGTGTGGTAGGGATTTTTTCTTATTTTTCTTTCAATACTTTGAATATATTATGTCGCTTACTTTTGGTTTAAAAAGATATCCTCTTGTATCTTGTTGATATCATGTGAATTCCCTTTTATGTCATGATCCATTTTTTCTTTTTCTGCTTCCAATATTCTTTGTCTGTGACTTTTGAAAGACTGATTATAATATTTATTGGTGTAAAATTTTTGAATTGATTTCAGTGTACAGTAGTTGTGTTTTAAAACAATTCTACATCCATATTTTTTCTCAAATTTGGGAAATTTTCTGCCTGCCATTAATTCTTTAAATAGACTTTTTGCCTCAATCTTTTCCTCTTGTCCCATGAGGGCTCTCGTAATGCATAACTGGTCTGGTTAACAATGTCCCATAAGTGTCAGGCTTTCTTCACTTTATTATCATATTCTTTTTGCTCCTCTCCCTTAATAGTTTCAAATGGCCAATATTTTCAAATTCATGAATTATTTTTTCTAGCTGATCAAGTCATCTATTGAATTTCTCTAGTAAATTTTTCAATTTAGTTTTTGTATTATTTAGCTCCAGAATTTCTATTTGGTTCCTTTCTATACTTTTTATGTCTTATTGATACTCTTATTTCATATATGTATTATTTTCCTGGTTTTCAAAAATGTGTCTGTGTTCTTTTAGCTAATAGAGCATCTTTAATTATTTTTGAAATTTTTGATAGGTATTTAATATATTTTGAATTTTTTGACAAGTAATTAATAGATCTTTGTTCATTCAGGCTTTAAAAAATGTTTATTTTGTTCCTTTAAATAGGTCATACTTTCTGGTGTCTGCATGTTTTGCATTTCTTTGTTTAAATTTTGAGATTTAAAGAAACACCCACATCTCCAAGTCTTTATGTACTGGCTTAGTGTAGGGAAATACCTTCATCTATCACCCCAGCTAGAGATTCTGGGAGCTTGGCAAACGTTTCCAAGAGCTGTATCCTCTCAGGGCTTTTGAATGTAATTACCAAGTTAAATAGGATTTTTTTGTTTGTTTGTTTTCAGGATTTTGTAATATTTTGCTTTCCCTCGTGCCATTCTGTAGTAATAATGCAGCTTTTTTGCTACTGCTTTAAACTGCCACACTGCCTTTATTCCCAGGCATTCAAAAGCTGTGGTTTCTATAAGTGATTTAAGTTCGGTGACAGAAATCAGACCCTTGGGATGTCCCCTAAGGAGCCGGAAAATTAGACCACATTTCACTCTCCTTTCACTCCTGTGGGAAATGTGATGACTAAGGATATTTTTTTCCTGATTGTGTAATGCTGTACTGGCTAGAGAAGGATCTATAGAGAGTATATGATACAACACTTCTTAAGATATTTCAATAAAATTCTTCTTGGTTTTGCTCTTTTCTGGGGTGCTGTAATCTTTTCACTGGTTTCTGGGATTATCACCATGGCAATTTGGTCTATATGATGTTGTTAAGTCTCTTTCTGCATGGGGAAACAGGGACAGGGCATTCTTACTCTGTCACCTTTAAAACAACAATTTTGCCACCACACCATGTGCAAATTTTAAAGACAATGTGATGAAAATATGGGAATTTGCTGTTATTTGCTAGGTCTAGAAGTGAGATTCTAGGTAATTATTAAAAATTCCTTTGAGATTTCCTTTGTTTGCAATAATTGATATAATTTAAAAAAACAAAAGGTGATATTACCAGAAAATTTCTGAAATAAGATGAGCTCAAATAGCATTGGTTTGGTGACTTTATATCATTTTTTTGACCTTTGTTGGATACTTAGAATGTGTTATTTAATTTATACACTTTAAAATTTATAACACACACCTATAGGATTGTAATTTAATTTGCATCTCATCACACTATGCTCAACCTAAAGTGAACATGGTCCAAAGGTTGGTTAATAGATTAGTAGTGTAAAATTTAGAATATTTATGCTGGGAGCTTCTTACAGGGAAGACAGAACAAACCTGGGCAGGCTCCTGGTTAGAAATTGCTGGTTAAGATAGAACATACTAAAACGGCAAGGCCAATTGGATTCTGATTGCAACTGATCTCAAAATTCAATGCCAGATTGATGAAGGAGAGTCTTATGAGCAACAGCTATCGAGAGGCAGAGAGTCCCACATACAATGAACGTCCAACCTAAAAAGCTCCAGAGTGTCAGCAGGCTCAACTCCAGAAATGGCTTCCCACCTGTCACAGCATGTTAATAAATTACTGTGTTTAATTACAGAGAAAAGATGAGGCTTAAAACAGATATAATCAGCTTTTCCTAGATTATAATAATATTGTAAAAGTCAAAAAACATATCAGTGTAAAAACTTAAGAAACTTTCAAAACAGTAAACAATTTTATTTATATTTATTGTATACATACACAAGAAAAATACTTATATTTATTTTTATATCATCATTTTAAAATTGAAATTAATTTGTAGATATACCTAATCAACATCTGTAAGAATTTCAAAATTTTCAAAAAGCCAGATGAGCCAATTTATTTATTTAAAACTATTAATAGGCATATCACTAAGATTATATGACAGTAAAAAAATGAGAAGATTAACATATTTGCTTATTAGTGTAAACATTATTACACTATATTTAGCTTTGTGTAGAGCTTTACATATCAAAATATTTAATATATAATACTATTTGTTATGCAGGTTTTCTAATACCTTAAATTTTTACTATGTAAGCAATTATTTGATGAATTTACAATTCTCAAAGATTGAGACTGAAAAGCAGTTCACTGATCTTACTTTCAGAACAAGCATCTCTTTATTTTTCTACAGTAAATTATACTTTTGATTATAGAGATAAGAATTATGAGTATTCATCATTTTTAAAGAATAAACATATAAATCTTCTTTAAGTGTACTATCAAATAAATTTTATAAACTCAGTAATTATCACCACATATTTCAAATAGTTACTAATCCCAAAAATAATCTGTTCACCTTGAATATCTTACTGACATGTTCTCTATGTGAGAAAAAAAATAGTTTCTTTTGTTATTTGATGGCAATCATGAGAAAGGTCTTTTTATCATCAAGAAAACAGAAAAAAGTATTGGTTGAGTGATGGCAGAAATGTAGGCCATGACATCTAGATGAGGTCTATGGAAATACAGCAAACTTTTCTAAGCATAATGCCATGTCATCATTATTAGCAATTTATTTTCTGAGATCACTGATGCTGGCTATGTAGAAGGGCTTATTTAAATTGAAAAAGAAACATCATTATGTTTCTCATAGCCAGCTAATCTCATAGAACACTTACCTGATTTGTGTGGTTTACTGAATTTTGTGAATTTTAAGTTTTTTACCTCTTTATATCCATGTGTTTGGGCGCACACCAGGAATAATCATATTGCATGTCACCCTATCACTTAAGGTTATAGAAGTAATGACATCATCAAAACAGTCATATCAGAAATAGGAAAATTTAGATGTATTCATGTCCTTGTGTCACAAAGTGAGAGAAGAGAGTAAAGACACCTAGGAAAATACAACGAAAGAATGAGATATACTCACAACCTCATGATCGTGGAATTCTAGGCTATATAGCTAAGATAAAATAACAGAATAGATAATATGAAAATAGCAAGGTTTTCACCAAATTCTATGTGGCTGGAATTAACAGGATTACCCCATCAGGTCTTTCTTGAATTTGGAAAGATCTATTCCCTCTTTTCTATCTTTCTAGTTTTATTAAATTTTTGACAGGAAAATAAAAAACATTTTGTGAACAAGAATATAGCAGTTGCCACACAGGCCAGCAGGAACCCAATCACATCTATAGAGTAGTGCTGGAACCAGGTGAGGTCATGGGCAGCTGATCGCAGGTGCTTGGCTCCTTTGTGGCGCATGACAAACTCGATCCAGAAGACTGCTCGATCTAGGGGCTTTACAGGTTGATCATGGTGAATTCTTGATAATCTCATAGCATTCTCTTTATAACTGGAAGGGAAAAACACACATAGAACTTAGAAAGTTGTAGTTTTGTTTTCATAAAAGACAGGTAGATAAACCGTAGTATATGTTATGCAAGCCAAGAACATGTTCAGTAAAAGATTGATTCTGGTTGTGACATGAATATTGTTGGTTACATAGTATTAAACAGATATAGTGGAGAGACTGAAAGAGTATATTCTTAACAAAATGGGGTAAAATTAAGATGTGAATAAAAGCTTAGTAAGCCAGTTGTTAACTTAAACCTAATATTTCCATGAAGAAAGTTTGACACTCTATGAACTACAATTTCCACAACTATTCCAGTAACAAGGTGATGAATGACTCAATATTGTGGAGTAAAATCCCTCAACATGTCTACCAGGATGATATTTAACATTTTCTGGTATAATGTATAACATAGTCAATGTTAGATCAGTCTGTACAAGCAGTAGTACTTACGAGGAATCGGTAATGACTGTTCTCAAAGCCCTCAGTAAATCTTCGCTTGTCATAGTTTTGAAGTTTATTTCTACAGCTGCTCCTTTGGCCTTCATGTGAGCTATGTTATCAAGCTGATCACCAAATATGGGAACTCCCACCATAGGGACCCCATGGTAAATAGCTTCATAGATCCCATTCATTCCACCATGAGTGATAAAAGCTTTGGTTTTGGGATGACCTAGTATGTAAATTGGATGAGAAATGGTGAGATATTTTATTCTAAACTTTTAAAATTATTTAAAGACTACAGATGGGAATTACGAGATAACTCACTGAAGCGTACAGCACTTTCTTTAGAAGGTGAGCACATGGAGCATTGCTACTAAAGATCATTTCTATCTCCAGAAAAATAGGCATTAATTCCTTCTGAATTTCCTGTCACTCTCACCTTAACAATAGAAAGTGTGAATCTATACAATTTTAGTCAATCCTTTAATTATATCTGCTTCAAAAGAGTAAGTAAAATAAAGTTTTATAATTTTAGATCTTTGCTGAATTTGCTTGCTGTTTAACATTTATTCATTTTTTCCTCGTCTAGTTCATATTTTTACTTTCTCATAGACCTACCAAGAAGATCATTCTGGGGTATCCAATCATACAGCCGAGTATTGGCTCCTAATGTGGATGGTTTTTTTCCTTTGTACCTCCATAACACCTACGGAAGAAACACATGTATTTCACAGAGTGAACCACAGGATATTAGCATTCTAAGGATGTAGATATAGTTATAAATTATAAACTCATTGTACTTCAGGTGATGGTTGAGACAGGGGTGTGTAGAGCTACCGCGTAAAGACTGAAAGATATAGTAGGACGTTTTACAAAGATCTTTTAAAATAATGTGTACCAGTTGCCTATTAGGTATGCTATTATTATTTTATTACCAATTAAAAATATTTGAGAATGAGAATACCAGTGAATATTTAAAAAAATAATTCAGCAGTGGCTAATCTATTTTTATATAAGAATTAAAAATTTTATAAGTACCTGATCTGTGTGTCATTTTAACTCATGGAGCCAATCTCATTCTACCATCAAATTTACAGTTCCCTGCAGATAAAAATTTGCTTTCAATTATGTGTGTCTTTTGGATAATCAGGTGTCTTTTCTTCTCTATTTCCTTCCTGGCCTCTTTCTTCTTATATTTAATTGTTTTATTGAAGAAGAATGAGCTAGAAAATTACTTATGTTCCACTGTTCAATGATAAATTTTCTTTGAGATTGTACCTTTTTTTTACACAATTTTTCTTTGTTGGACACCTATACAAATTTTATACATTTGAAAACAAAGAACGGCATAGATGTTTCAAACTACTTAACAGATAATTTCATAATTAAAATTACAATATTTCAAATTCCTAATTAGTATGCTTGCCTTTATTGAGTTTGAAGTATTTTAGCTAAATATAAAATGAAATATCTTTTGGATAGTTTATATATAGCACTATCTAAAGTGTGAAATTCTAGAATTACAGTAATAATAAAGTTAAAATTAGTGGAGTATCATAAATAATTACATTACTTAAATAATTGTTACTATACTATAATTGTAATTGACATTTTACTTTTGAAACTTCTAATTATTTAGAAAGACTACATTAATCTGAGCTTTTATTTCTAAGCAAAACTACCCTGAATACAGTTTTTATACACACAAATATGAGAAGATATTCTTGAGATTGATTCTTCTTTTTTTTTTTATATCAGTTTTCCTTTTTCTGGTCCTTTGAAATAATAGATGTCAGAATTTTTTTTTGGAATCATTGGCACACGCTTTTAGATTTCAAATCCTAAAATATAAGGTAGGGCTTTATTTATTATATCTATTTTATTATAAACAAATGACAATCAAGAAAGTTGTTTCCAGTAACAGCAAGACTCAGTAGGCAAATGATCAGTTATGCCCATGTACACTACTATAATGTTTTGCAAATTTTGGTACCTGTTATGCTAAGTGGAAAATGAGATTCAAGACCCAAATAAAACCATACTGTTTCATTATGTGAATAGCTGCTTATCAGGATTGGAGGTTTTACTGACCTTCTGTGGGATCTGGGCAAGGGCTGAAGCAATGATATTAGCCTTTTCTTCTGTAACATTTTGAAACAGTGACCCCAGAGAAAACACCACAATACCATCTTCCCCTGAACTCTGGACAAAATTTTCCATTTCCTGAAGATAAAAATTTATCTGCATTACAGAGGCATAATATAACAAAAATTAAAATAAAGGTTACTTACACTTCTAAAATAAATACTTGAGAAATTATTAATGTGTAGTTATATTCTGTCCCTATATGCTGACACACAGAACTATCTAGTCTCTTTAAAGGACAGTCTATGTATAAAACATGTGGCTTAAATATGTAATCATTCATACTAGAAAAGGCGCACAACCAAAACAGTATGCAAAAAGTTTCAGTAATGAGTACATCTCTTTTCATGTCTGTGTCACGTAGACACAAAATCCTAAAACCAAAATAATTTGCTAAAATATAAAATTATTATTTGAGGACTGACATCAGCGAGATGGTGGAATAGAAGACCTCCAGCATCAATCGCTTTTAAAAGTACAACTAGCAACTATTCGAATATAAAAATACCACTCTGAAAGCACCAGAGCTCAGAAGAAAAGTGAAAAATCTTATGGGTTCATGGAAATTAAAAAATCCATGACCAGAAAGAAGAAAGATCATTGTGCCACATCACCCCATTCTCCAAACCAAAATAGCATCAGTCACAGAAAACTTCCCTGTACCTGCAATTACACAGGTGGAAGAAAATAGTTGCAACTGGACATTCAATCTCCATATCAGTGTGTGAATCATTGTGAGAAGCCTTCTATGTTCCATCCCACAGGAGGTATTAGGAGTGTCAGAAGGGCTGAACCACCTGAGTTGAATTGGAAGCAAAGAGCAGAAGCACTAATCACAGCAAATGGCAAACAGATCTTGGCAGATGCTTTGTGGTCCTATCAGCAGGGAATTCACTGATGAGGACCTAGCCAGCACTACAGTAGTACAGGAGACACAATCCAAGGGAAGGCTAGAATCTTTGGTTAGATTTTACAAATATCCCAGGTGATCATGCAGAGCATTTCTCTGACTCAGAAACAACTATCAGGTTAGTAACTAAGTTCCAGTTATTTCTTAAGCCTTCCTCAACTCAGAAATTACTACAGGTTTGGGTTTAAGTTCTGGCACAGCATTATGTTTTCATGGTCATGATAAGTCTTCCCCAGACAGGAAAACAACAGCATGGAAGAGATTTAGCTCTACTGCACTATTTAGGTTCTGCTATTAACTACAAGCTCTCCTCAGAACAGAAAGAATCCTCAGGGCAGTGATTCAGCTCTGATATTAAGCAGTACACACTTAACACCACTGCATATCACCTTAAAAAGCTGAATCAGGTGGTTATCTTTTTAAATATGTAGACATCAATATAAAGAGCAAGTATTGTTAAAAAAAAACTGGGAAGTATGACATCTCTAAAATAAACCAATAAAATTTCAATAATGCACCAAAAGTTTTGAAAATGCTTAAATATCCGACATCAAATTCACAATAATCTCTTTGACAAGTTCAGGAATCACATAAACTATAAATAAAAAAACAAAAGAAACTTGGAAAATAATGCAATCATAATATTAGAGAATTGAGGAAGAAATCAGAATAATAAAGAGGAAAGTCTACAACAACGAACACACACATCAAAAAAGTAGAAAGATATCAAATAAACAATTTATGATAACATCTCAAGGAATTAGAAAACAAGAACAAGGAAACTCAAAATTATTAGGAAAACAAGATATTTAACAAAGATTAGAGCAGAAATAAATGAAATAGAAATAAAATACTATATGGAAAATCAGCAAAATATTGAGTTAGTTGTTTGAAGAGATAAAATCGACAAAGCTTTAGCAAGGTAACTGAAAACATAACAAAATGAAACAAACCAGAAAAGACACAAATAAAATGGGAGATTACAAAGAGACAAAGCAAATCAGGCATAGAGGCTCATATCTATAAACCCAGCATTTTCAGAGACAGAGGCTGAAGAATCACTTGAAGCCCAAAGATTGAGAATAGCTTAGTAAGAACCCATCTCTACAAAATTTGAAATAAATTAGCCAGTCTTGATGGTGTATGCCTGTCTCAGCTACTCAGGAATTTTGGAATTTTGAGGTAGAAGGATTGCTTAAACTCAGGAGTTTGGGTTTCAGTGAGCTATAATAATGTCACCGCACTCCAGTATGCGTAACAAAGTGACATTTCATCTCTAAAATCTTAAGGATTCTTAAAAAAAAGGAAAAAAATGACACTAGAAATGAAAAGGACTATAAAAGGCTTCTATGGACATGCATATGCCAATAAATGGAAAAATCTAGGAAAATAAACAATTTAGTGGACACATAAAATAGGACTGGATTATGAAGAAATAAAAACAAGGAGAAATAAATAATGAAGAAGAAGTTTAAATCAGTAATAAAGTCTCATTAAAAAAGCCAGTGAGCTAAGGTCTTCACTATGAAATTCAACAAAATTTAAAGAATAATTAATAACACTTTTTCTCACTCTTCCAAACCATCAAAAAGTCAAAAAGGCAAAAACACTTCAGTATCATCTTGTGAGGCTAGCATTACCCTGATCCCACACCAGACAAGGAGGTGTGTATGTATGTATGTATGTATATATATATATATATATATATATATATATATATATATATGCATAATATATTTGCTTCCAGAGGAAGAATCCAGCAGCAATATTTGCTGTTCTGCAGTATTTGCTGTTCTGCAGCCTCTTCTGGTGATACCAGGCAAACAGGGTCTGGAGTGGACCTCCAGCAAACTCCAACAGACCTGAAGCTGAGGGACCTGGGTGTTAGAAGGAAAACTAACAAACAGAAAGAAATAACATCAAAATCAATAAAAAGGACATCCACACCAAAACCCCATCTGTAGGTCACCAACATCAAAGACCAAAGGTAGATAAAACCACAAAGATGGAGAGAAACCAGAGCAGAAAAGCTGAATGTTCTAAAAAGCAGAGCGCCACTACTCCTCCAAAGGATTGCAGCTCCTCACCAGCAATGGATCAAAGCTGGATGGAGAATGACTTTGATGAGCTGACAGAAGTAGACTTCAGAAAGTCTGTAATAACAAACTTCTCTGAGCTAAAGGAGCATGTTCTAACCCATCGCAAGGAAGACAAAAGCCTTGAGAAAAGGTTAGACAAATGGCTAACTAGAATAAACAGTGTAGAGAAGACCTTAAATGACCTGATGGAGCTGAAAACCATAGCATGAGAACGTCATGACACATGCGCAAGCTTCAATAGCCGATTTGATCAGTTGGAAAAAAAGATATCAGTGATTGAAGATCAAATTAATGAAATAAAGCAAGAAGACAAGTTTAGGGAAAAAAGTGTAAAAAGAAAGGAACAAAGCCTCCAAGAAATATGGGACTATGTGAAAAGACCAAATATATGTTTGATTGGTGTACCTGAATGTGATGGAGAGAATGGAACCAAGTTAGAAAACACTCTTCAGTATATTATCCAGGAGAACTTTCCCAACCTAGCGAGGCAGGCCAACATTCAAATTCAGGAAATACAGAGAACACCACAAAGATATTCCTTGAGAAGACCAACTCCAAGACACATAATTGTCAGATTCACTAAGGTTGAAATGAAGGAAAAAATGCTAAAAGCAGCCAGAGAGAAAGGTCAGGTTACCGACAAAGGAAAGCCCATCAGACAAACAGTGGATCTCTCAGCAAACCCTACAAGCCAGAAGAGAGTGGGGGCCAATATTCAACATTCTTAAAGGAAAGAATTTTCAACCCAGAATCAGATATGCAGCCAAATTAAGTTTCATAAGTGAAGAAGAAATGAAATCCTTTACAGACAAGCAAATGCTGAGAGATTTTGTCACCACCAGGCCTGCCTTACAAGAGCTCCCGAAGGAAGCACTTAACATGGAAAAGAACAACTGGTACCAGCCACTGCAAAAACATGCCAAATTGTAAAGACCATCAATGCTATGAAGAAACTGCTTCAATTAATGAGCAAAATAATCAGCTAACATCACAATGACAGGATCAAATTCACACATAACAATATTAACCTAAAATGTAAATGAGCTAAATGGCCCAATTAAGAGACACAGACTGGCAAATTGTATAAAGAGTCAAGAACCATCAGTATGTTGTATTCAGGGGACCCATCTCACATACAGAGACACACATAGACACAAAATAAAGTGATAAAGGAAGATCTACAAAGTAAATGGAAAGCAAAAAAAAAAAAAAAAAAAAAGCAGAGGTTGCAATCCTAGTCACTGATAAAACAGGCTTTAAACCAACAAAGATCAAAAGAGACAAAGAAGGTCATTACATAATGGTAAAGGGATCAATTCAACAAGAAGAGCTAACTATCCTAAATATATATGCACCCAATACAGGAGCACCCAGATTCATAAAGCAAGTCCTGAGAGACCGACAAAGAGACATACAATAATAATGGGAGACTTTAACACCCCACTGTTGTTATTAGAAAGATCAAGGAGACAGAAGGTTAACACGGATATCCAGGACTTGAACTCAGCTCTGCTCCAAGCAGACCTAGTAGACATTTACTAAACTCTCCACCCCAAATCAACAGCATATACATTCTTCTCAGGACCACATCATACTTATTCTAAAATTGACCACATAATTGGAAGTAAAACACTCCTTAGCAAATGTAAAAGAACAGAAATCACAACAGTCTCTCAGACCACTGTGTAATCAAATTAGAACTCAGGATTAAGAAACTCACTCAAAACTGCACAACTACATAGAAACTGAGTAACCTGCACCTGAATGACTACCAGAGAAATAATAAAATGAAGGCAAAAATAAAGATGTTCTTTGAAACCAATGAGAACAAAGATACGAAGTACTAGAATCTCTGGGACACATTTAAATCAGTGTGTAAAGGGAAATTTATATCACTGAATGCCCAGAAGAGAAAGCAGGAAAAATCTAAAATCGACACCCTAACATCACAATTAATAGAACCAGAGAAGCAAGAGCAAATACATTCAAAAGCTGGTAGAAGACAAGAATTAACTAAGATCAGAGCAGAACTGAAGGAGATAGGGACACGAAAAACCCTTCAACAAATCAATGAATCCAGGAGCTGGTTGTTTGAAAAGATCAACAAAATAAATAGACCACTAGCAAGACAAATAAAGAATAAAATAGAGAAAAATCAAATAGACACAATAAAAATGATAAAGAGGATATCACCACTGTTCACACAGAAATACAAACTACCGTCAGAGAATATTATAAACACCTGTATGCAAATAAACTAGAGAATCTAAAGAAACGGATGAATTCCTGGACACATACACCATCCCAAGACTAAATCAAGAAAAATTTGAATCTCTGAATGGAACAATAACAGCCTCAGAAATTGAGGCAATAATATCCTACAAACCAAAAAAAGTCCTGGACCAGATGGATTCACAGCTGAATTATATCAGAGGTACAAATAGGAGCTGGTACCATTCCTTCTGAAACCATTCCAATCAATAGAAAAAGAGAGAATCCTCCCTAACTCATGTTATGAGGCCAGCATCGTCCTGATACCAAAGCCTGGCAGAGACACAACAAAAAAAGAGAATTTTAGACCAATATCTCTGAGGAATATCACTGCAAAAACCCTCAATAAAATACTGGCAAACCGAATCCAGCTGCATGTCAAAAACCTTTTCCACCATGATCAAGTTGGCTTCATCCCCGGAGGCAAGTCTGGTTCAACATCCACAAATCAATAAATGTAATCCTTCACACAAGCAGAAACAACGAGGAAAACCACGATTATATCAATAGATGCAGAAAACACCTTCAACAAAATTCAACACCCTTCATGCTAGTAACTCTCAATAAACTAGGAATTGATGGAACACATTTCAAAATAATAAGAGCTATTTATGACAAACCCATAGCCAATATCATACTGAGTGGGCAAAAACTGGAAGCATTCCCTTTGAAAACTTGCACAAGACAAAGATGCCTTCTCTCACCACTCCTATTCAACACAGCATTGGAAGCTCTGGACAGGGCAATCAGGCAAGAGAAAGAAGAAAGGATATTCAATTAGGAAAAGAGTAAGTCAAATTGTCCCCGTTTGCAGATGACATTATTGGATATTTAGAAAACCCCTTCATCTCGGCCCAAAATCTCCTTCAGCTGATAAGCAACTTCAGCAAAGTCTGAGGATACAAAATCAATGAGCAAAAATCACAAGCATTCCTATATAACAATAACAGACAAACAGCCAAATCATGATTGAACTGTCATTCACAATTGCTACAAACAGAATAAAATACCTAGGAATCCAACTTACAAGGGATGTGAAAGATCTCTTCAAGGAGTACTACAAACCACTGCTCAATGAAATAAAAGAGGACACAAACAAATGGAAGAACATTCCATGCTCATGGATAGGAAGAATTAATATCATGAAAATGGACATACTGTCCAAGGTAATTTATAGATTCAATGCCATGCCCATCAAGCTACCGATGGCTTTCTTCACAGAATTGGAAAAAACTACTTTAAAGTTCACATAGAAGCAAAAATGAGCCTGCATTGCCAAGACAATCCTAAGCAAAAAGAACAAAGCTGGAGGCATCATGGTACCTGATGTCAAACTACATTACAAGGCTGCAGTAACCAAAACAACATGGTACTGGTATCAAAACAGATATACAGACCAATGGAACAGAACAGAGGCCTCAGAAATAACACTACACATCTCTAACCATGTGATCTTTGACAAATCTGACAAAATCAAGAAATGGAGAAAGGATTCCCTATTTAATAAATGGTGTTGGGAAAACACGCTAGCCATATGTAGAAAGTTGAAACGGATCCCTTCTTACATCTTATACAAAAATTAATTTAAGATGGATTAAAGACTTAAATGTTAGACCTGAAACCATAAAAATCCTAGAAGAAAACCTAGGCTATACCACTGAGGACTTAGGCCTGGGCAAGGGTTTCATGACTAAAACACCAAAAGCAATGGCAACAAAAGCCGAAATTGACAAATGGGATCTAATTAAGCTAAAGAGCTTCTGCACAGCAAAAGAAACTACCATCAGGGTGAACAGGCAACCTACAGAATGGGAGAAAATTTTTGCAATCTACCCATCTGACAAAGGGCTAATATCCAGAATCTACAATGAACTTAAACAAATTTACAGGAAAAAAACAAACAACTCCATTGAAAAGTGGGCAAAGGATATGAACAGACACTTGTCAAAAGAAGACATTTATGCAGCCAAAAGACACATGAAAAAATGCTCATCATCACTGGTCATCAGAGAAATGCAAACAAAAACCACAATGAGATACCATCTCATGTGAGTTAGAATGGCCATCATTAAAAAGTCAGGAAACAACAGATACTGGAGAGGATGTGGGGAAATAGGAACGTTTTTACACTGTTGGTGGGAATGTAAATTAGTTCAACCATTGTGGAAGACAGTGTGGGGATTCCTCAAGGATCTAGAACTAGAAATACCATTTGACCCAGTTATCCCATTACTGGGTATGTACACAAAGGATAGTAAATCATGTTGCTATAAAGACACATGCACACATATGTTTATTGTAGCACTATTCACAATAGCAAAGACTTGGAACCAACCCAAATGTCCAACAGTGATAGACTGGATTAAGAAAACGTAGCACATATACACCATGGAATACTATGCAGCCATAAATAAGGATGAGTTCATGTCCTTTTGAGGGACATGGATGAAGCTGAAAACAGTCATTCTCAGCAAACTATCACAAGGATAGAAAATCAAACACTGCATGTTCTCACTTTTAGGTAGGAAGTGAACAATGAGAACACATGGACACAGGGCGGGGAACATCACACACCTGGCCTGTTGGGGGTTGGGTGGCTGGTGGAGGGATAGCATTAGGAGAAATACCTAATGTAATGATGAGTTGATGCATGCAGCAAACCAAAATGGCACATGTATACCTATGTAACTGACCTGCACATCCTGCACATGTACCCTTGAACTTAAAGTATTTTATATATATATAAAACTTAAAGTATTGTATATATATAATATACACATATATACATATATATAATATACACATATATACATATATATAATATATATATACACACACACATATATAGCATAGATATCACCAAAACAGTATGGCAGTGGCATGAAAACAGATACATACACCAATACTATATAGAATAGAGATCCACAAAATAAATTTATGCATTTACTGCTGCCATAGTATGGATATTTGAGCCCTCCACACTTCATGTTAAAATTTGATCCCCAATATTGGGGGTAGAATCTAACAGAATGTGCCTTTGTCATGGAAGCAGATCCCTCATGAATAGATTAATCCCCTGCCTGGGAGGCGAATTTTTACTCTATTAGTTCCCAGAAGAGCTAGTTGTTTTACAAAACCTGGCACTCCCTCACATCCCCTCTTTATGGTTTCCTCTCTTGTCATGAGACCTTTGCATATACCAGCTCATGTTTGCCTTCTACCACAAGTGGAAGCATCTTGAGAACCTTACCAGAGGCCAAGCAGAAGTCAGTGCTGTGCTTCTTGTACAGTATGCAGAACTATCATTCAAATAATTCTATTTGATATATAAATTTGCTAGTCTCATGTGTTCCTCTATAACAACACAAATGGAGGAATATAGCAGCTAACTGACTTTTGACAAAGGTGCCAAGAACACATAATAGAAAAAAGGCAACCTCTTCACTAAATGGTGCTAGGAAAACTGCATATCCACATGCAGAAAATGAAACTAGACCTCTATCCCTCACCATATACAAAGTAAGTAAAAATGAATTACAAAGTTAAATATAAGGCCAAACATTATACAACTACTAGAAGAAACTGTAGGAGGAATGATTTGTGACATTGGTCTAGGCAAGGATTTTTTTGGATAGGACTTCAGAAGCACAGCCAACAAAAGGAAAAGTAGATAAACGGGTTATATCAAAGCATTGAGCTTGTGCAGAGAAAATGAAGCAAACAACAGGGTGAAGAGACAATTCACAACATGAAAAATATTTGCAAACTATGAATCTGACAATAAGTTACCATCTCAAATATACATAGAAGTCACATCAGTCAATAAAAATAAATTACTAATTTGATTAAAAAATAAGCAAAAGACCTGAATAGACACTTCTCAAAAGAAGACTATCAGTGACTAAGAAGTATAATTACAAAATGCTCAAAATCACTAATCATCAGGGAAATGCAAATCAAAACTACAATGAGATATCACATCACCCCTGTTATGGCTATTATCAAAAGGCAAAAATAACAAGTGCTAGAAAGTATGCAGAGAAAGAAGATCTTTTATAAACTGTTGAGGGAAATGCAAATTAGTACAATTAGTAAGGAAAACGGTATGGTAGTTCCTCAAAAAATGAAAATAGAACTACCATATTATACAGCATTTCCATTACTGGGTGTATATTTAAATAAACTAAGAAGTCATAGAGATATCTGTCCTTCTATGTTTACATCAACATTATTCATATACCCAAGGGATGAATCAACCTAAACATCCATTAATGAAGAAATACATAAAGAAAATATGGAAAAAATATACATATATATATGTCCATTCCATTGGATATATATACACACATTTGAAAATATCTCTCTCTCTCTCTCTCTCTATATATATATATGCAATGAAATGGATATGTATATTGTGTGTGTTTATATGTATAGATATATATTTCTATTCCATTATATATATATATCCATTCCATTAGATATATATAAGCTTTATTTCTATTATATATTAACTTTTTTATAGCTCAATAGCATTCCACTGGAGATATATATATATATATATATATATATATATATATACATTTTCCAATGTTTATATATATCCATTTCATTAAATATATATTGGAAAAAAAAGAATGAAATCCTGTCATTTGTAGAAACATGAATGAACCTCCAGGGCATAATGTTAACTGAAATAATCCAGGCAGAGATAGCATGGTATCCCTTATACGTGGAATCAAAAAATGCATTCATAATATAATTAGAGAGTAGAATTGTGGTTACTAGAGGCTGAAGAGATAGTAGGGAGGGCAATGAGAAATGGTGGATCAATGGATACAACGTTTAAATTTGGAAGAATATGTTCTGTTATTATATTAAGTTGTTGGGTAACTATAGTTAATAGTAATGTATTACATATTTCAAGATAGCCAGAAAGGAGGTTTTTGAATGTTATCACCACAAAGAAATGATAAATATTTAGATGATGGGTTTATTATCTTGATGTAATTATTACACAACATTTAAATGTATTGTAATACCACAGCATTTCTCTTAAACATGTGCAATTATTACATGTCAAATTTAAAAAATAAAAATAAATATTTAGTGTAAGACAGCCCTAAAATATATCTCAATTAAACTTGTAAAATTATCAGCACAAAAGCTTTTACCTAATAAATTATTACTGTATGGATCTAACTTTTTTAAAAATATGACTTCTATGATTATTTCTATGAGTGTGTGTTTGTGTGTGTGTGTTTGTGTGTGTGTGTAAAACTGGGAGTGTGGGAATAAAGGGTAGAATGGCATGGGAGATTACCTAGAGAATGATGGAAATTGTCAGCTCTCCTTCTGTATTTCTATTTTAGATACAGATGCCATGGCTTAAGAGAGCTTGGTTTTCTGGTATAACTTTCCTGGTAAGTAAAGTGATATTAATAATTAATAAATAAAATTATATTCATCAATACACATCTTACTATAAAACCAATAATTTTTCTGGAAATCCTACTGGCTCTGAAACCTTCCTTATAGGATTTTGATTATATTTCCATAAAATGGGAAATGAGGGTTTTCTTTTCACTCTGTAGTAATAGGTAAACCCAGTATTGTTACCATAGCTATTGTGGTAAATTCTTATAATTTTATGTTGTCTGGCTATGCATTTAAAATATAAGTTGAATTTTCCATACCAGAAGCAGGTCTTAGTCAACACTGACACCGTTTAAAATCTTCCACCTCCTTCCATTTCCTCAATGTGTTCAGTCAGGATTTTTACTTACACACTGCCTCCTGGTAACCACCCTATAGGACAACTAGATACAGCCTACTTGGGCTTGAATCACTGATCAGATTCTGTGCAGATATGCCAAAGTGACTATCTTTCAGTCTCAGAATGCCTCCATGGACTTTGTGCCTGCTTGCATTAAACCTACCAATTACAGTTCCCCATTGGAAACCCACCTAGGTAACACCCTGGATCCCAGTTAACATTTTGGCACATAGATCCCTCACTCTCTTTCTTGGTCTCCATTCATTGGTTGAATGTGCTTTTCCCAGAGAATTTTCTTCTTCCTAGTGGCCTTACAAGGGATGCTGAACTCTTTTCTCTAGAAATGGTCAAAGAAGACTGTTTCTGTTATTTTATGTGTTTGGTTAAGTTTCTCCCATGTTTTCTCACTTGACCAACACAAATATAACATCTGGCCTTGTCAGGGTTTCCTATAATGTGGTTACCTTTGTAGGGATAAAGAAGACATAGGTCATACAAGAGACACAGTGGTGTCTTCCAGTGTAAACAAGTTCCCTATAAGAACAATCTTGGTATAGATTGCACACTTAGGCATTAGGCTGTTCATCAGAATAAAAAGTATCCCGTAAGAGGTAGATTATGAACATCCATGACTAAATATCCTAGAACCTTGTCAGGTCAAGGCTAGAGCTAATAGCCACTTTTGGGACAGTGAACTCAAGACATACTTACAAAACTATTAAAAAACTATAACAACTATTACTCACTTTTACTTCTCAATATTGTTTCTTTCAACATTCCTTGAACTATAAATTTTTTCCTCTGATGATTTAGGAATATAGTATACAATTTTATTTTCACTCCAAAAGAAACCTGCAGGCTGCAAAATTATTTCTATGAGCTCTACTTTGTCCTGATAACTATCGATATTTAGATTTCTGTCCACAGAGGTTGAAACCTTGTTTTTCTCAAATGGCTTTTATTAAACCTCACCTAACATTCTCACGAGCTCAAAGTGGATAGTCACAACACAGAATTCATCATATAAATCACAAACAAGATGACTTCTAAGCACTTATTTGAGTAAAAGTCATCACTATCATTAAACACTTAAACTTTCCATTTATTGAAATTTTCTTTTATTCTTTGTCTTCCTTCATCACTTATTTTCTCTCACTCACCAACTCCTGTGGAATATATCCAATATGTCTCATGAAAATATGCTTATTTCTGTACTATCATGACAAATATCCTTGTTCATAAGCCCAATTTGATTGTGAGAAAGGCTAGAGCATTCTTTTTAGTGATCTTCATGGCTCCAATTCCCTATTAATTCAATTTATTATCCAAACTATTGTAATACTAGTATTTTAAAATCTATTCTAATCATGACATTCTTCTGCCTACTTTCTCAATATAATACCGAAAAGACATATAATCACCTATAAGAGCCCCTGTGGCATGGAAAATAAATATGGAGCTGCAAACAGAAGACATTCAACATCATCCTTCTATAACTAAGGTTGTAATCTTTCAAGGGAAAACAAGTCATGTCATAAAGTACATAATATTCCTTAATACAATAGTCCTACCTTAGGCAAAGCTTTGGCAGGTTTACAGTGCAATCCTCCAACAAACTCAAAGTTAGGTTGGTATGGTTGAGGAAATTCAAAATCCCAATATGTTCGTATTAGCCATATCTCAGCTTTTCCCACAGTCTCACATAATGTAGTGGGCCTTCCTCAATAAAAGAAATAACAGAATGAATTAGCATACAATTCAAATAAAAAATTGTATCACTAATTTTTCAGTAAGCTATTAAGAAAAAAATAAGTTTAAGTCCTCTAGAACAACATGGCTTTTAGACGTCAAATGGAAGGGGGAATTAATGAAATAATAAAGAAGAAAAAAGAAAGAAAGGAAAAAAGAAGGAAGGACAGAGAAAGAAAGGAGGGAAGGAAGAAAGGAAGGAAGGAAGGATGGAGGGAGGGAAGGATGGAAAGAAGGAAGGAAGGAAGGAAAGAAGGAAGGAAGGAAGGAAGGAGCAAAGGACAGATGGTTATATTTAAGTGTATTTTCACAACTTAAAGACACAAATCCAAAATGCAAATGAATTTATTACTCATTTTTTCCTCTGCAAGTGAATTGCAGATGATAAATGAGTACCACAATATCTTCACTAAATAACATCTCTGTATTTTCTAATCTATAGTCAAGGGTATATCTTTCAATAATCCCACCAGGATCAGTTCCCTTTAACTTGCTGTATTGCATATCATTACTTTAATTAATAGGCTACTGTTTTATTAGGAGAAATTCCTTTACTGATTCTTACCCATGACAATATTCTTTTTGGGTTGTGAAGCACCTATGTACATGCTATGATAATCATACACTTACTTTAGTGTTTCTCTCAAATGATGTGTTTTGAAGGAAAACACATTTTCAAGATTTAATTTTAGGTTTTTAATCAGAAGAATGGCTAACTACAAATAACTAAGTAATTAGTATCTCTTTACAAAAACATATTTTGCAAGTGATAAAAAGATAAACTCCATAAGAGAATTTGTTTCTCTTTAAAATTCTAATCAAAGTTGGTGGTGTTATACACCATAGTGTGGAGAGCCTCTTTTTAAGGTCATCACATTTTAATGTTTGAAGTTTTTTCCTAGGTCATAAATCCAAACGCCTTGAATTTGATAGTGAATAAATTTTACTGAAGATACTCAGTTTGAAGTTATCAGAAATTAGAATAGAGCCTTCTCTCAGCTTCCAAGCAAATGCATTTATGTCTTATAAATTTGTTGTTTTCTGTGCCTCACATGCTGCCTGCATTACCAACTTGTAGGTGATTTTAATTACTATGATATTAGGACTCATTTAAGAAAGACTCAGTTTTAAACAATTGGAGTCATTCAATGTTTAAAGGATAAATACACAGTAACAAGGATAAAGATGATCAAAGGAAAGAAAATTAAATTTGCTTTTTATACTAATAAAATAATTTCACATCTTATTTGAAATGCCATACACACATATCTTGGAGATATTGCAAGATAAGTTGCAGTTCATCTCAATAAAAGGAATATGCCAATAAAGTGATTCACACAAATTTGGGTCCCAGGACATATAAAAGTTATGTTAACCATACCTTGTAGGCTATTAGCTGTGCAATATCATCACGTTTAAAAAGGAATGCACATACCTTAGTTAAAAGTATGGCTAAAAAGTGCTAATAATAAGCTGAGTCTTCAGCAAGTGAGGTTTTTTATTTTTATTTTTTCTGGTGTAGGGTCTTGCCTCAGTGCTGATTACTGTTGATTGATCAGGGCAGCTGGACAATTTTTAAAATTAGACAACAAAGATTGTTGCATGAATTGACTCATCTTTTCATGAAAGATTTCTCTGTAGCATATGATGATGTTTCACAGCAGTTTACCCATAGTAGAATTTCTTTCAAAATTTGAGTCCATTCTCTCAAACCTTGATGCTGCCTTATCTACTAATTTTGTGTAATATTCTAAGTCATTTGTAGCCATTTCAACAATGTTCATAGCATTTTCACTCGGAGAAGATTCCAACTCACAAAACCAATTTCTGTGTTCATCTATAAAAAGTAACTGTTTAAAAAGCACCTCCTCACCGGTTTTACAGGTTTTAGTTTTATCATGATATTATAGCAATTTAGACAAACCTTCAGGCCCACTTATAATTCTATTTCTTTTTTCATGACCACCCCATCCCCAGTTAATTCTTCACATGATGTCTTCAATCCCTCAAAATCATCCAGGAGAGTTAGAATCAAATTTTTTCCAAACTCTTGTTAATGTTAATATGTTGACTTCCTCTCATGAACCATGAATGTTCTTAATGGAATCTAGAATGAAAAATCCTTTTGAAAAGGTTTTCAATATACTTTCCCCATTAGTAAGAGCTATAGCCTTACAAAATATATTTCTTACATAAGACTTGAAAGTCAAGGCTATATGATCCATGGCATGTAAGATGGATGTAATAATAGCAAGCAGGCAAACATTAATATCTGTACATCTTAATCAGAGCCCTTTGTTGACCATGTGAATTGTCAATGAGCAGCAATATTTTGAAAGGAATCCTCTTTTTTGAGCAATAGGTCTCAACAGTGTGCTTAAAATATTCAATAAGCCATGTCATATACCAATGTGATATCATCCAGGCTTTGTTGTTCCATTGATATAACACAGGCAAAGTAGATTTAACATAATTATTAAGAGTCCTCTATAATTATTACAAAAAGTAAATGGGCATTGGCTTTACCTTTGTCATCAGCTGCATTAGCCACTACAAGAGATTCAGCCTGTTTTTTGTAGCTTCAAAGACAAGCATTGACTTCTCTTCTCTAGCTATGAAAGTTTTAAATGGCATCTTCTTCCAACAGAAGGCTGTTAGGTCTACATTGAAAATCATTTGTTTACTGTAGCCACATTTACTGAGTATATTAGCTAAGTCTTCTGCATGACTTCCTATTGCTTCACATTGAACTTTTGCATCATGTAGGCAGTTTATTCCTGTAAACCTCATTAGTCAACCTCTACTAGCTTCAGTCTTTTTTTCTGCATCTTCCTCTCCTCTCTGAGGCTTCATGCAATTGAATAGTTAACGCTTTACTATGTATTAGTTTTTAGCTAATGCCAAAACCTAAGGTGATGTTGTGGTTGGTTTAATTTTTTTTCTTTTCTTTTTTTTCTTTTTTTTTTTTTTTTTTTTGGTAGTGGTTTTGCTCTATCACCTAGGTTGGAGTGCAGTGGAGCAATCATAGCTCACTGCAGCCTTGGACTTCAAACTTCTGGGCTCAAGCCGTTCTCCCACCTGAGCCTCCCAAGTTACTGGGATTACAGATATGAATCACTGCAGCTAGCTAGCTAATTTGATTTTCTCTCCAGACAACTAAAATTTTCTCCATATCAGCACTGATAATGGTTATTTGTTCTTATCATTTGTATGTACACTGGAGTAGCACTTTTAATTTCCTCCAAAAACTTTTCCTTTGCACTCACATCTTGTTTAACTGTTTGGTGCAATGGTGTAGTTTTTGGCCTGTCCCAGGCTTTTTTTGTTGCTACAAAGGAACAACTGAGGCTGTCTAATTTGTAAAAGAAAAAGGTTTTTATTTGGCTCACAATTCTTCATGGTATACAAGAGGCATGGCACCAACATCTGTGTCTGGTGAAGACCTCTGGTTTCCTCCACTCATTGAAGAAGATGTTGGGAGCCAGCAAGTGCAGGGATCAGATAATGAGAGATATGCAAGAGAAAGAAGGTGGATGTTCCTGGCTCTTTTTAATAATTATCTCTCCTGGGACCTAATAGAGTGAGAACGAACTCACCCATTTCCCCAGGGAGAGCATTAATGTACTCATAAGGAATCTACCCTCATGACCCTAACACTTCCCATCAAGCCCCACCTCCAATATTGGTGATCAAATTTCAACACAGGATTTTGTAGGGTCAAGCAAACCATATCTAAACTATAGTACTCATTAAACTTATTCCTTTATATTTTTGGTTTAAATTGAGAGACCTGCTACTTTTCTTTTCACTGGAACATTTAGAAGTCATTGTATGTTATATTACTGTGTCTCAGGGAATAGGGAGGCCTAAGAAGAAGTGGGATGGGGAAACGAATCAGCGGAGCAGTTAGTACATGCACAACATTTATAATTAAGTTTGCTGTCTTATATTGTAACACATCAAGGTGCCCCCAAGCTAATAAACGTGTAACCATCAAGGAACACTGATCCCAGATCACCGTAACAGATATAACAATGAAAAATTTGAAAAAGCATGATAAATGCCAATATGTGATAGAGTCAAAAGTACACACTTGCTGTTGGAAATATTACGCCAAATTGATTAGCTTGACTCAAGGTTTTCAAAAACCTTTAATTTGTAAATTGCAATTTTTGTGAAGGACAATAAAGCAATGTATAATAAAATGAAATACACCTGTGCGTAAGCACTTATGGAAATAAATCCTTGAATTGAAATTGACTGATATCCCTTTTCCTATAGTTGTTTGAATATATACTCTTGATTTAGACTCACAATAGATAATTCTATAAAATATATAATAATCAATAATTTAGTAAGTTGGAGCTACATAATAAATATAGTTATTAAATGAATTTCTTATATATCAAGCTGCTCCATGATTTTTAAAGAATTGTTGGGGAATTTCTGAATGCATGGCCAGAACCCACTTTTGTTTATTGGAAAATGCTCTTTCACCCCTTTGATAACACTTTTGTTTTATTTTAAATTTCAATCTTGTCAGGGGGCTTTTACTATAATCCTATTTTACCAAAATTTGCCAGTGACCTCTATATAGCTGTACCCCTTTAAATTAATATCTGAATGTAGACTTGAGGCCAAGAGATTTGTATTGTTTACCTAGATCCATAAAGCCTGGTAGGCTATCTGCAGCTAGGCACAGCTTACTGAATGGAAAATTATTTAAAGCAAATCAATACATGTAAATTCAAATCATGTCTAAGGCTAAGGACATTTGAACTGGGATCCTCTGAATATTAGTTCTGTGAAACAGTCTATGCATAAGAATTCGTTGGAATACATTAAACAATATTTTAGTGTCGAATATAATTGTACCTTTTTTCATGTTTCTACATAATTCTCAAACATATTTGGATAAAAACATGTCTTGCATTGACCAGCTCTGATCACAACTATATGAAAATTGCAAAGCAAAACAACTTTTTATCAGTAAAGCAAGGAAATAAAAATAAGTCAAGTAGGTGTATATCAGTAAAGTAAAAATTCTACTATCTTATGCCCCACAAGACCGTAAGTCTTTTAACTTTTTATAATATTTTTTCAAGTTTTTGTGAAGTAATCACCTAAGAAATTAAAGAATTCTAGAAAATGTTCAATTTAATGACTCTTGAAAAATTAATTCAAAGAAGACCTTCTGAAGATTTTCTTAAATACATGATGAGAGAGAAAATAATGATTAGCATTTTATTTCAATAGAAATTCTATAAAATTCAGACTAACAATCAGTGATTCTCAAAAATATGTGATGTTGATTTGCGCTATTTGGAGGAAATACAAAATATAATCTCTTAGTTATTGATGATCATTTTTAAGTATATTACTGGTATTAAGAAAGTAGGTTATCTTACGCTTAGAACAAATACACTTTCTTTATGAAAAACAGCTACAACATTTTCTAAAAAAACTCATTGACCTGCATATATATGTCATAGACAATGTATGACAATTTTTAAAAATATTTCTTTTGATAACTAAATTAAAAATAAAACAAAAGTGTCTTACCTAATGCCTTACTATAAAACTCTTCCCAAAAATGATAGTCGTAATCCTGAATCCAGAAGTGGAACAAAACTGAAAGCATTGAATTTTTTACTCTTTCCAGAAAGGTCATTCTGTCTGTTAGTCCTGTCATAGGCACAGGTACATAGGAAAGTGGAGCTGGAAGTTTCCCACAGCTTCGCTCCATATTGCCTCCTACAGAAATTCTAAGTGTGAGCACAAAAGGGACTGCAAGCAACTCAGCCATCAGGTCTCCACAGGGAATCACAGGGTCTATAAGCATTACATCGTAGTTGGTTTCCTGTAGCTTCTTCATAAGCGTCTGATTGTAGATAAAGCTCTCACACATCATTTTTAAAGTTCCTCTTATTTCAACAAAAAAATCATTTAATTTTATAACTGATTGCCAGGTTGATAAGCCTGGCAAGACATTCAGAGCTAGGTCAACAAATATTTCATTTTCTTCTGTTCTGTCCTGTGGCATATGGACCACCTCAAATTTCAATGCAGAAGGCTTCCTGTAGTCAATTAACGAAGGCTTTGAGTGAGTCAATACTGTTACCTCATGGCCTCTCACTATGAGCTCTTCTAGAATGACCTTGACATTAAGCCAATGGCTCATGTCACAGGGCCACACCAGGACTTTCCCACAGAATCCACAGCCAACACAGAAGAGCTGCAGGAGCAGAAATACCAAAGCTGACTTGTCAGACCTCATGATGGCAGTTCCCTCACACACTGATCTGCAATGGTTTTGTAGTTACTAAGCAAGGAGTTGAAATGACAATATAAGCACAGAAGTTAAAAATTAATATTTTAAGAGTAAAGTTCACTGGTGGTTGCCAGTTTAACATGTACTGAAGGTATCAAAAAAATGCAATGTATCAGGGAAAAGTTGTTCCAACCCTCTAGAACTTAGAAATAAAATACATAAATATACTTTTATTACCTGGATTGATGATAAAGAAAAAAATTTTTCAAGTCTTTAGATTTAATAATTCATGTGCAGAAACATGCACACAATCACACTTACATTCATTCCACACTAAGTCCAAGGCATCAGATGGTTTAGGACAGCACATGTTTCACATCCCTTGCTCACAAGGACAATACAAAGGTTTACTGAGAATATACTTAGAGAGTTTGGGTAACTATTTTGACTAATTTTATATAATAAGTACAAAGTGTTCAGTATTTCAGAGGGGAAAATGCACAATTGCTTTAATATGAAATAATAAAAGCTTTAATAAGGCATTTGACTTAGGAGGTGAGATGAAAGCTTTGATAGGATTTACTGTTGCCAAAGGAAGCATTTCACAATCGATAGAAGCATACAAAAGTATAGGATATTTGAAAATCATTCCAGTGAGTAGTGGTCACAGAGAAAGTTCAGAGCAGGACGTTACAGAAGAAAGTTAGTTTGAAATTGGAGAACATAATTTTAAATAAAAAATTATGAGTTTGAATCATAATTTATAGGCAAATAATTATTTACTCAAGTTTTAAAGGATAGTCACAAGATCAACCTTTTCTTTAGCAAGAAACTCTTGCATCTCAACACAGAGTGGTATGTAAAGGTAAGAGTTTAAAACAGGGAAAACGATAAAAATTATATATTAGTTACTGAGACATGTCAACCTAATAGAATGAAACATAAATTGTTAATAGTTAAATGCAAGAAATTAATTTAAAATTTGAATTTACTGATAATATCTGAGATAGGAAAAAATGTGTAGGAGAAAAGACATGGTTGTGGTTTCTGTCTTAATAAGCAGAAGTTTGATAATGACATTAGGTAAAATATTATGCACAAAACTTAGAGCAGTTTTCAGAATCAATATCATCTAACTGGGTTATTTTTCCTGTAGTTACTGTTCAAATTTTCAACAACTGTATGTAGATGTGAACAAAAAATAAAATTTTAGGAATCCCCAACCATCTAAACGGACCCTTACTCTCAGCAAAGAGCATTTCAAAGTTAATCTCAAAAACTAGTTGAGGCAATGATGAGAAGTGGGGTGGTGGGATAGGATATGCCTCATTATACCCTCCCCCCTTTCTGAATTCAGGAAAAACTCACTAGCACTACCATCAACGCAGACTTTAAAACCAATAGAACAGACTCACTAATTTTGATAAGAAACATTTACAATCTATTCTCTCTGAAGCCTGTTGCTTGACAGCTTTATCTGCATGATAACACCTTGGTATTAACAGCCCTTTATCTTAACCCAGACATTCTTGTCTGTTAATTCTATAACTTAGACAACAATATAACTCAACCAATTGCCAATAGAAAATCCTTGAATTTGCCTATGACCTGGAAGCCCCACTCCCAGTTGTCCTGCCTATCCAGACCAAGTCAATATATAACCTACATGTATGGATTGATGTCTAATGTCACTCTAAATTGCATTAAAACTGTGTAGCCTGAGCACCATGATGACATGTTCTTAGGGTCTCTGGAGGGATAAATCACAGGCCATTACTGACTCATATTTGGCTCAGAATAAACCTCTTTAAATATTTTAAAGTGTTCGACTCTTTTCATCAATAACAACTTGACACTTGAACATGTGGGGCCTCAGACAAAACTCAGGACACCATAAAACTTGCCTGAACTTGAAGCTAAGGTAGCAACAGAGGCCCACTGAATGCCTCTCCAATTTTGAGCTTCTTCTCCAGTGGAACTGGTATGTCCTCTTGAGTCCTGGATCTCCTTTCGGTATATAGTCCTTGATTTATTCTGAACATTTTTTCTTTTTTTTCTCCTTGGAGGTTGTCTTTTAGAATCCTAATTATACTTCAGGAGTTCATTCTAAAGGGTCCTCTCCATTGCCTTTTTTCCCAAATATAAGCTCAAAAGGCTTCTCTGCACTTTTGTATGAGAAGCTGAACTATTATTTTCACAGATAAATGAGAGACCAGAGACTGAGCTCCTCAGCTCTGAAGAGAAAGGGCATTTTACTCCTCCCAGCCAAGGGGGCCCACTTGGAATGTCTGGGATGTTAAAACTTCATGATGTATAGTGGCCAAACAGAGAACCCCTGCCAACACAACGAGTTTAAAAAAGCTCATCTAGAAAATGCATGTAAGAGCTGATCACTCAGTGTTTTGAGCCCTCATGGAGGTGATAGCTGTCTGGAGAGAGAAACTAATGAGAGAAAAGAAAATAAGGAACCAGTTAGGCAAATAGTTTGGACAAGTTTCTTGGTAGAAGTCCTCCCCCAAAAAATAACAGTGTGGAAGAAATCAAGCTGCAAGCGCAGATAAGGAAGCAAAGTCCAAAGCCTTTGTCTTCTGTGCAACAAGTGAGCTCTGCCTGTACATGGTGGCCTTCAGTGATCACATACCTTTTATTTTCAGGCATACTCGTATAAAGGAACTTGCACAGAGTGCTTGTCTAAGACAGACCTGTAGCTGTATACATAAAGAAAGTTACACAGAACCAGACACATCCGCAGTGACACATACCAAATAAGCAAAATAAAACAACATGCACTAAGTCAGGCTAAGGACCTGCGTGCACACTAGAGGGAAGAAGTGGAGCTAACGATAATTTGTATATATGCAAAGAAGACATCCAATCCTAACCAGTTTTTCATGTCTTACACAAATGAAACACTCTGCCCCATTAGCTTTCTTTCTTCCTTTTTTTTTTTATAAGAGTCTTTGCATTCAACTGTGAAAGGACAACCCTTTCCAGAACTCCTGGTAATACCTCAAACAACAAAACTGCTCCAGTGACCCTAGTCTGCTTTACTGTAAAAAGTAAAGTAGAGGTGCCTCTTCAAAGACTTTCCTCCTCATCTAATTGAGAATAAATAGTAACTTGTCTTAGAAGCAAAATTTATTCAAAGACCTGTGCTAACATTCTTAAATATTCACTAGCCGTAATAAAGAAATCAATGTACTTTATGTTCTTAGCTCCCACAATTTAGCCTAAATATTTGCCCTGGCATGCTTGCACTGGTCCAAGAAAGCGTTAGGTCATAGACTTGTCCTATTGCTTATTTGAAGGTGTTTTTACCTTTCTCAGCATTCCACAAGTTACTTCCACCTTCCTTTGTTCTCCTCTGCCTTTGCCTCTTTTAAAAAGTTCTAAGTTGCTAGCCAATCAGGACAAACACAGAATATGAGGTCCTATTCCTTCCAGTAGAAACAGGACACAGCAGTAAGGTGGATGCATCAAGTTATAAATGACCCTGTATCCTCTGTTTGGTGTACTTTCATGACTAAACTGCTGGTGAGTGCACCCTTTTTGCAGAAAGGAAAAAAAAAAGAAAAAAAAATGGTCTTGCTGAAGAAATTAAATTTATGTTCGAGTGCTATTTCTTTTCTTTACGGCACTGAAGAACAAGCATTTCAAAGATTCACTAAGACATGTAAGAAGGCAGAAACAACTCAACGTTAAAACATGTGGAGTCTCACTTACAATCAGCACGCATTGATGCACCACACAAAAAACCCTAGGACACAGTTTGGTTCCTCCTTTTAAGAAAAAAAGTGGGAAAATATATAAGAATGAGGAAAGACAAGGACAAAACTCTTTTGGGGCAATTTTTTGGTTTCATGCGGCTCCCATTTGCAAGCATGTGTGTAAAACGGAGAAGTTTGGGGGCCTTCCCCATCTAATGATTTAGGACCACCCCCTTAGTGCTGTCTTATCATAGTGTTTTCAGAAGATCTGGTTGTTTAAAAGTGTGTAGCGCTCCCCCCAACTTCCTCCTGCTCCAGTCAGGCAGGACATGTTGGCTTCCCCTTCACCTTCTCATAATTATAAGTTTCCTGAGGTCTCCTCAGCCATAGTACCTATACAGCCTGGGGAACTGTGAGTAATTTAAACCCCTTTTTTTCATAAATTACCCAATCTTGAGTAGTTCTTTATAGCAATATGAGAACAAATGTGAGAACAAAGTAATACAGAAGATGTGAGAACAATGTGACAGCAAACTAATACAGAAAACTAGAGAGGTGTGGCATTGTTATAAAGATACCTGAAGATGTGGAAGCAACTTTGGAGCTTGGTAATGGGCAGAGGTTGAAACAGTTTGGAAGGCTCAGAAAAAGACAGGAAGATGAGGAAAAGACAGGCAGATCCACAGGGCCAGAGCTGCCCAAAGCCTTGAGAGCCCTCCCGTTGCACTGGTGTGCCATAGATGTGAGACATAGAGTCAAAGGAAATTATTTTGGAGCTTTAAGATTTAATGAGGGCCCTGCTGGGTTTAGGAGTTGCCTGGGGCCTGGAGCCCCTTGATTCTGGTCAACATTTTCCTTTTAAAATGGGAACATTCACTCAGTTGCTGTATCCCCACTGGATCTTGGAAGTAACTCTCTTGTTTTTTATTCTCCAAGCTCATAAGTGGAAGGGACTTGCCTTGTCTCAGATGAGACCTACTATTTGGACATTTTGGGTAATGCTGGAATGTGTTAAGACTTTGGGAGTCTGTGGAGAAGGCATGATTTTGTTTTAAAATGTGAGAAGGACATGAGATTTGGGAGGGTTCAGGGCTAGAATGATACAGTTTGGCTCTATGTTCCCACCCAAATCTCATGTTAAATTGTGATATGTTTCAGCTGTGTCACCATCCAAATGTCATCTTGAATTGTAGTTCCCATAATCCCCATGTGTTTTGGGAGGGACCCAGTGGGAGGTAATTTAATCATGAGGGTGGTTATTCCCATGCTACTGTTCTCATGATAGTGAGTGAGTTCTCATGAGATCTGATGGTTTTATAAGGGGCTTTTCCCCCTTTTGCTCAAAGGACATGTTTGCTTCCCCTTCTGCCATGATGGTAAGTTCCCTGAGGCCACGCCAGCCATGCTGAACTGTGAATCCACTGAACCTTTTTTCTGTATAATTTACCCAGTTTTGGGTATGTCTTTATTAGCCGTGTGAGAATTAACTATTACAAATTGTTATCTTCAGTGCTAGAGGTGGAGGCTGGTAGGAGGTGATTGAATCATGGGAGTGATTTCTAATGTTTTTGCACCATCTTCCTAGTGTTGTCTTGTGATACAGCTCTCATGAGATCTGGTTGTTTAAAAGGGTGTATTACCAAACCCCATCTTCATGCTGCTCCAGGAATGTAGGATATGTTGGCTTCCACTTTACCTTCTTGCATGATTATAAGTTTTTTTAGGCCTCTTCAGTCATGCTACCTATATACCCTGTGGAATGTGAGTCAATTAAACCTCTTTTCTTCATAAATTACCCAGTCTCAGGTAGTTTTTTATAACTATGTCATAATGGAATATCAGACTTTCTAGGGCTCTAGATAGTTACATATTATGTTCTGTTTTGCACATTTTAAACTGATGGCCCAATTACACTAAGTGAAAATTTAGACCCAAAGGCTTACATGTAACTATAAAGTTTTTATGTTCTCTATTTTTCTTTTTTCTACCTGCTTTATGTCTACTGCTAGTTTTCTACTGAGGAAAAAAAAAATCACTTTTTGGCTAGAACCATTATTTTGTTTTTTTTTTCTTCTTATTATTATTATTTGTAAACCAGTGAGTTTGTATCAATATCTCATGTCTGGAGTTCTAAAGTAAAAGCTGTAGAATCTTTGTATGAGGGTGTTTGTGTCTGTTTATCTGTACATACGTGTATTTTTTATGTGTTATAGCTACAAGGAACCAAATAAAATTAAAGTTAAGGAGATCTCAGAAATTAAGGAAATAATAAACCTAATGGCTTTTCAAGTCTATGTGAATTAAGTAAAATTTTTAAAGAAAAAACTAGCTTTGAAATTGTTGGTAAACTAATATTAGAGATGTCTTAAGAATTGTTAGCATTTTTCTTTCCACTTATTGATCAAGTGGTTTCATACTTAGTCTTGCCAAATATTTTTGTTTCCTGCCAAATATTGTAAGGTGCCAAAATTTGGCATAAGGTTTATAAAACTGTGAACCCAGCACCAAACTAAATGATCTTTGCTTGTGTAATTTTTAGTAAAGAAAACATTTAATATTATTGGCTTAATGAGAGCAACTAAATCCTGAGTTATTGGAAAAATACCCATATATTTAACCTTAAGTTTCTTAGGTAAATACCTGAAATTCATAGGGTATAAACATAGTTAAAAAATAACTAAGGGATGACTGTTACACTTTTTATAAATAATCTAGGCAAACTATTAAATAAATTTATTATATGACTATGATAAAATGAAAGTCATATAATTTGGAATCTAAAGCTATATTAAATAATAGATATTTGTTAAATGTATGGGTAATTTTTGATTTCAAAAATTATAAGGAAACTTTAAAAAATGTTTTCTTATTAAAAGACAATTATTTTTCTAGTTCAACAGTTATTTAAAGTGTATATATTATACAAGGCAAAAGAAACTAGGGAATAAGAGATATTTAAAGAAACATACATATAAAAAGGTACCTTTGGTAAGAAAGATTACATGAAGACAAATCTTGTATTGTATATTTTTGTTCTAAAATAAAATAACAGGTTGTTGAAGAAGATGGATGTTTAAGACAAACCCCAAAGCCAAGTATGTTATGAATAATCTGTGTAAGTCATAGTAAGTTTAGTAAAATGAAATTTATTTTAAATACATATATGAAATATATATGAGTAAGTTGGCTATAACTAAAAAGAGATTATAATAGTCTTTCTGGTAATTGGACTTTAATATTAAAATTAAACTAATACAAAACTAATGAATTGGTTATAAAAATTATATTAAAATATTGAGTTAATGCAAGAATATTTCATTTTTTAAACTGTGTAATCTGATTAGTAGAAGTTTAGTTTCTGCTATATCCTGCTGCTTCAGCTCTTCCTTCCTTTTGAGAAGGCCTGGGATGGTAACTCTCTCCTTAAACTTTTGTTGAATCCTGTAACATTTCTTTTTATTCATAGTCTGAAGTAAGGGAGACAGTTTTTGAAAACAGGCAAATGAAAAACATTTTTTGGATCTGCCTGCCCAGACCAGCTCAGTTGTGGAGACCCTTACCCAGTGGCACTAGAGGAATTAAAGACACAAACACACAGAAATATAGTGTGTGGAGTGGGAAATTAGGGGTCTCACAGGATTCAGAGCTGAGAACCTGGAACAGAGACTTACCCACATATTTATTGACAGCAAGCCAGTGATAAGATTTACTAAAAGTATTCCTTATGCGAAATAAAGTAATGGGCCAAAACAAAGGATGGGCTCTGGCTAGTTATCTGCAGCAGGAACATGTCCTTAAGGCACAGATCGCTCATGCTATTATGTGTGCTTTAAGAATGCCTTAAGCACTTTTCTGCCCTGGGTGGACCAGGTCTTCCTTGCCCTCATTCCAGTAAACTGATAACCTTCCAGTGTGGGTGTCATGGCCATCACAAGCATGTCACAGTGCTGCAGAGACTTTGTTTATGGCCAGTTTTGGGGTCAGTTTATGGCCAAATTGGGGGGCCTGTTCCCAACATCTGCCTTTGTCTGTATCTCTGTTATATTTATATATTACTTGCGTCATGTGGAAGTGATATTTCAATATCAAAATATATGAAAGAGCTCTAATCAATTGACTTAAAGAAAAGTTAAGCGCTTATCACACTAACAAAAGCTAGCTTGGATACCTTTGAGTTCACATGACTATAGTAGTATTTGGTAACATTAATTTGGAAAATTTAATCTCAAAATTCTCTCTAATAGTATAAAATCTGAGTCATGTTATGTTAAATTAAGTAACCCTCAGTATGGTCACTGAGAATTTATGTTACTGAGAGTTAAAATAGTTGTAGAATACAAAGGTTTTTTTGGGTGAGGTTTATAAAAACAGAAGGATGGGTCAGGTGTGGTGGCTCATGCCTGAAATCCCAGCACCTTGGGAGGCCAAGGCAGGTGGATCATGACATCAGAAGATTGAGACCATCATGTCTAACATAGTGAAACCCCATCTCTACCAAAAAAAGATACAAAAAATTAGCTGGGCATGGTGGCAGGCACCTGTAGTCCCAGCTACTCATGAGGTTGAGGCAGGAGAGTGGTGTGAACCTGGGAGGCAGAGCTTGCAGTGAGCTGAGATCTTGCCACTGCACTCTAGCCAGGGAGACAGAGAGATACTCCATCTCAAGAAAAAAAATGATGGGGTAGATAGATAGATAGATAGATAGATAGATAGATAGATAGATAGATAAGACCAAATGGATAAAGAGAAAAATGAAAACTCAGGGAATGAGAAACTTTTGACTCTTGGGTGGCTACACGGTCACCCACCTTCAGGAGCTGCAGCTGGGCTGCATTCAGTTACTAAAGGTCAAAGTTACCAGTGGAAATTTAGAGATGGATGATAGCCACACTCCCAGGGAGTTAGTTCAGTGAATGCATAACAAAATGTAAACTAATAAGAAAACTACAAAATGTTAATTCCCTCAGTTATTGCTATCTGTAATCGCTAAAATGAAAGTAAAAGAGTGCTGGGTTTTGCCTTAAGGCTGGACCAAATTTATGTGGGTCTTTCTCAGCTCAGGCCACTAGCCTCAAAGCTACACACACACACACACACACACACACAAACATACACATCTTAAGCCAGGGCAACAAAGCTACTTTTGAGACCTGTAGTTACCAAGAACCTCTAGTCAATGTGGGGAAAGGGAAAGCCAAGTTAACTATTAAACCCAGAGGGTGTAATGTAAAGAAATTGCTCCATTTTGTAGAGTAATATAATCAGTTTCTGAGAAACCTTTACTATAATGGATTGGAAAAATAACTACTTTAAGGACAATATTTTTTATTTTAAGTGCTACAGAATGAAAGAGCATGAGTTTATGCAGGTCCCACAGCTCAGGATTAAATAATCACTGAAGAGTATATGTGACCCAGCTTCACAAAAGTTTATTCCTGAGAAAACAACCAGCCTAGTGGACAGAATAATTGCCATTGTTAAGTTTGATTACCCTGAGAAAGAGACTGCCCAACTCACCCTGTAAAATTCCAGGTGGAGTTCCCCAGATGAAGCAACTGATATGCTTCGTATACAAGCCATATGGGACTGGCTTTATCAATACCAGAATATTATTCAACTAAATATACCTATTACCCTGGTCATAGTAAAGGCTATGGTTAAGTGGGCCCCTTCTACCTGGGCACAAAATGCTATCAAAGGTGGGGTGAACCAAAGGGAGCTCCTGCTGGTCCCCAAACATCAAAGGGACCTACACCAGTTTTTTTTGTATTTGCCTTAGATTGGATAAGTTTTTTTTTTAAAGCATAATTTGTAATCTAATGGGAAAGCTGACATTGCCTGTGGCAATGTTGAGGCAAGTTTAGATAGAGATTGACAAAAGGGCTTGAGAATCTTGGCTCAACCCTATTCTGGGAGATTTTATTTTTACCAGAAAGTTAAATTTGTTTGAAGATAAAGAAGAAAAGCTCCTGGGATCAGAACATAAAATTGTAAATGTTGAGAGGATTACAAAATTTGAGATGTTTAAGCAGATTGTATGTAAGGTTGTTGTGACTCATTTACCTGATAACAGTGGTGTTCTTTACATTAGAATAGAGGACAAAAATTCCCAGATTTTCGTAGAGAGATAATATTGAAAACAACATGAGTAAACTAACCAAACCTAACTAATGAAAGATAAAAATTTTTTTTGTGGATTTTTGTTTGAAACATAGCTAATTATTTTTCTTTTTAGAGATTAGAAAACTTTTTTTTTCTTTTGAGCCACATACAACGTTTAACAATTGGGTAAAGTACACTCCTTTAGGCAAAATTTAAAACGTATTTCTCTCTCTACCTGATTTCTCCAGAATTTGAAGACTCATTGTAAGCATACTTAATTTACGACAGTATAGTTATTTGTGTAAGTTAAATAAGAATCTTTTTTTTTCTTTTTAATAACAGGACACTATTAGGAAATATATACCAAAGCTCTAACTCGAATGGAATACTTTCAGATTGCTTTTAGGGATCAAAGTTGACTAATAGAGCCAATAAAACCCCTTGGTAAATCTGACCTCTTAACTGGTCTACACGATTCTTGTAAGAATTTCTTCCCTATGGCAAGTAAAGAATGTCACTTTCTGACAGTCTCAGGAGCCCCACATTATCTTGGGACCTCAAGGTGAGAAATTCATCCAACCCATACTGATATTTGCAGGCACAGATAAATCCGTGGCTGGGCTGAAGGGTTTGAAAAGTCTAAGCTAATATTTCTTATGGACTAAAGTTCCAGCAAAGCTAATTTTAAGAATTCTATAAGGCAAATAATTATTCTGACTAACTTTATACAAAAACCCAGGCCAAGTAAAATAGGAATTTTTTTTTTACTTTATGCAAATATATTTGTCCTACTATTTTTTTTCTTCAGTAAAAATGGGAATTGAAGAAAGAAAAACTGTGCTTCAGGAAAATAATATAGCACACCTGTTGTTAGATTTGTCCTGTCTATTATTTTTGAGTTTTTAATATTTTATACACTGTGCACTTAATCCTGAATTTTTTCTTGGTTACAAGTCCCAAAACTAATGCTTGCAAATTATATTTTAATTCTTTTTCTGACTTGGCCTCAATAAAATTGTTACTACATCTTTTCTGAGGCCTTGATTCTTTGTAATACAGGTGAGAAAAAAGCATGTGAAATTGATACTACCTTCCTCCTCTTTAAACAAAAATCCTTTAAGTCTAATGTATAGAGAAATTGTGCCAAACATTAACCTTTTGTTTTTCTGCTGTCTCTACATAAATGCCTTTATTAAATATCTGTTTTCTTTCATAGATACAGAAGCTTAGCTTATCTTCAATGCTGCCTCCTTAAACAGATATGAGAAACATTTGTTTAACTGAACTCATCTAGTCTCAGGCCTAGAACACTGACTAAATAGATATAGGATGATATATTTAAGTTTGCTCTTCTTATTTAACTGAATCTGTCTTTCTAAAAACCTATAGTCTATTGTTCACTTAAGTGCTGTACTAGAACTGTGGGTGAGAATATTAACATCTTTGTTATACAACCATGAGTACATGCAGATAGCTGCATAGCAGTGATTTCCCTCCTATTTCCCTGTGATTAAATCCTTAACTATGCTCCTATCAGCAGGAAGAAACTAGATTGATTTTCACGCTTTTTTATCTCTATGTCCACAAACTTAAGAATAAGATGTATGAAAGCCAAAAGAGATATTAAAATCACCTTTGCAAAAATTATATCAGTGTGTAACCAAGCAGCTTAGCTTCAAACCACATTTTAAAAACTTTTTTATTTCCTCTTTCTCTCCAGTCTCAAGACACAGCTTTCCAACAATCAACAGATGTGTATTCTTTCATCTTGAAATAGAGCATGAGAATGTGCTTTAAAACTCCACTCTCCTTTCCCACTTTAAGCTCCCATGCCTTCTGCACATTAATTTACCTAGATGCCTGTTAAGCACACACCATGATAACTTATCTGACTATATACCGGTTAGAAGCTTCAGGGATCAAATCCTAACATGCTGCAGGCATTTCTGGAATTCTCTTCCCAACAGGAGATTACTTCAAGGCTGGAGTTCACTCCCAGTTAGAGTAACTGCAAGATTCTCTGTGATTAATTTGTAACCAGGTTGAGCACATAATGTTCTCCCCTTCACTAGATGGAACAATAATTCAAGATAAACCACTGGAGTGTGTCACACAACCTGGCACATCCGAACCCACCTTGCCTCTTCTGCATTCCAAGCCCTTCTTCTTAAATCATTGCCCTATCTACAGAAATTGAGAAGTAGTAAATTTTGAAAGAAGTGGTAAATTTTGAAAGTGCTTCTGGCCACTTTCCCCTTTGCTGACAACAGTAATAAAATTTACTGTCTTTCTTATTATATCCTGCTTTTACTATTTTGGCTTCTTTCTACAAGTGGTGAGCAACCAGACCCTCTTTTGTTACAGTGGAAGGTGACTGGATTATGGGAGTGAAGCATTATTGAATGATTTAGCACAATCCCCTTGGTGATAAGTTAACTGTCACTCAGGTAATTCACACAATAATTGGTTGCTTCAAACAGTTGGGAACATCCCTTCTCTCTCTTGATCCCACCCTTGCCATGTGATGCAATGGCTCCTTCTATAAATTCCATCACGATTGTATGCTTTCTGTAGTCCTCACCAGAAGCAGATACTGGAGACAAACTTGCACAGCCTAAAGAACTGTGAACCAATTAAACCTCTTTTCTTTATAAATTATTCAGCATATTAGTCTATTTTCACACTGCTCTGAAGAACTATGTAAGACTGGGCAATTTATGAAAAAAATAGGTTTAACGACTGACAGTTCCATAGCTGTAACAGAAGGCATGACTGGGAGACCTCAGAAAACTAAAAATCTGGAGAAAGTAAAGGGGGAAGCAAACACATCTTCCATGGTGGCAGGACACCGAGAGAGAGACAGAGGGACAGAGAGAGAGAGAGAGAGAGAGAGAGAGAGAGAGAGAAAGCAAAGGCAGAAGTAACACAAAATTTTAAACTATCAGATCTCATGAAAATTCACTCACTATCAAGAGAACAGCAAGGAGGAAATCCACCTCCACGATCTAGTCACCTCCCACCAGGCCCCTTTTCCAATTCAATATGAGATTTGTACAGGAATACAAATTCAAACCATAGCACCCAGCCTAATTTATTACTTTATAGCAATGCTAAAAATAGCCTAACACAGAAAATTGATACCAAGTGTAGCATGTTGGCATAGAGATACCTGAAAATGTGGAAGTAGCTTTGGAAATGGGTAACGGTCTAAGGTTGGATGGGTTTTGAGGGCTTAGAAGAAGAAAGGAAGCTGAGAAAATGTTTGGAACTCATTTGAGACTGGTGGAATGTTTGTGACCAAAATGCTGACAGAAATATTGACAGTGAGGGCCACACTGAGAAGGTCCCTGGTGAAAATGAGGAAGATATGAGGAACCAGAATAAGGGTCACCCATGTTACACCCTACCAAAAATCTTGGCTGCATTATGATCATGTCCTAGGGCTTTCTGAATGTTTCAACTTAAGGGTGATGACTTAGAGTGTTGGGTGGAAGAGATTTCTAAGAAGCAAAGCATTCAAGAGGTGACCTGTCTGTTTCTAACAGCCTATGATAAGATATAGAAGCAAGGAAAGAACCTAAAGTTAGAATGTGTATTTAAAAGGAAAAAAAAGAGCATAAAAGTTTGGAAAATTCTCAGAATGGCCATGATGTTGAAATGAAAATAGCTTTCAGTAGAGTTATTCAAGTGGGCTTCAGAGCATTAACTTGCTAGAGAGGTTTGCTTGAGTAAAAGGGAGAGTGGAAGCAAGAGAGAGAAGGTAAGTTGAAGACTTTTTTTAAGAACTAGATTTTTCTATGATGTATTAGTCTGCTCTCATGTGCTATAAGGACATACCCAAGACTGGGTAACTTATAAAGAAGCGGTTTAATTTATCAAAATTCCAGAGGGCTGGGGAAGCCTCAGGAAACTTACAATCATGGCAGAAGGAAAAGTATACATATTCTTTTTCACATGGTGGCAACGAGGACAAGAATGAGAGCAGCAAAAAGAGGGAAGCCCCTAATATAACCATCAATTCTTGTGAGAACTTACTTTTATGAGAATGGCATGGGGGAAACCACTCCCATGATCCAATTACATCCCACTGGGTCCCTCCTATGACACATGAGAATTATGAGAACAACAACTCAAGATAAGATTTTGGTGGAGACACAGCCAAACCATATCATTTGCTCCTGGCCCCTCCAAATCTCATGTCTTAACATTTCAAAATACAATTATGTCCTTCCAACAGTTCCCCAAAGTCTTAACTTCACCTTCTTCCATGATTGTAAGCTTCAGGAAGCCATCACTAGAAGTGGATGCTGGGGTCATGCTATACAGTATACTAAACTGTGAGCCAATTATAATTCCTTACTTCATAAGTTATGCAACCACATGTATTAATTCATAACAATGCAAGAATGGCCTAAGGCAATGAATTAAAGATTTAACTCTACAATCTCAAACTGTAAGAATCTTAAGGGAAAACCTAGAAGACACCATTCTGGACATTCGCCTTTGGAAACAATTTATGACTAAATCCTTATGTATTAGCCCATTCTCGAACTGCTAGAAAGAACTTCCCAAGACTGGATAATTTATAAAAGAAAGAGGATTAATTGACTCACAGTTCCACATGACTGAGGAGGCTTCATGAAACTTACAATCATGGTAGAAGGGGAAGCAGCCATATCTTACATAGTGGCAGGCAAGAGAATGAGTGTGTGAGGGAAAAAACTGTCAGACACTTATAAAACCATCAGATTTCATGATAACTTACAATCACAAGACTATCACGGGAGGCACATTGCCTCCATAATCCAATTTCCTCCCATGTGGTTTCTTCCTTGATGTATAAGGATTATGGGGTTTACAATTTATAATGAGATTTTAGTGAAGACATAAAGCCTAACCATAGCATTTCCCCCGGCCCCTTCCAAATCTCATTTCCTTACATTACAAAATCAATCATACCTATTCAACAGTCCCCCAAAGTCTTAACTCATTTCAGCATTAACTCAAAAGTTCATATCCAATACCTAATGTGAAATAAGGCAATTTCCTTCAACCTAGAAGCCTGTAAAATCAAAAGCAAATTAGTTTCTTCCAGTATACAATGAGGGTACAGGCACTGGATAAATGCTCTTATTTCAGATAGGAGAAATTGACCAAAATAAAGGGGCTATACTCCCCATGTACATGAGATATCTAGTGGAACAGTCATTAGATCTTAAAGCTCCTAAATGATCTCCTTTATACTTCATGTCTTACATCCAGTCATGCTGATGCAAGAGGTGAGCTCCCATGGTCTTGGGCAGCTATGCTGCTGTGGCTTTGCCCAGTGCAATCACCCTCCCAGTTGCTTTCACAGGCTGGTGTTGAGTGTCTGTGGCTTTTCCAGGTGTGTGGTGCAAGCTTTTGGTGAATCCACAATTCTGGGATCTGGAGAATGGTGACCCACTTCTCACACCTCCAGTAGACAGTGTCCCAGTGCAGACTCAATGTGGATACTCCAACCCCTTATTTCCCTTTAGCACTGCCCAAGCAGAGGTTGTCCATGAGGGCTTCATCCCTGCTGCAGATTTCTGCCTAGACATCCAGGCATTTCCGTACATCCTCTGAAAAGTAGGTGGAGGTTCCCACACCTCAGTTCATGACTTCTGTGGACTCCCAGGCCCAACAGCACGTGGAAGCCAACAAGGATTGCAACTTGCAGCCTCTGAAATAATGGGCTTAGCCACACCTTGGTACCTTTTAGCCATGGCTGGGAAACAGAGCACCAAGTCCCAAGGCTGCACAGAACAGCAGTGGACCACTTTTCTTTCCTAGGCTCCCAGATCTGTGATGGAGGGGTTGCTATTAAGAACTCTGACATGCTCTGAAGACATTTTCCCCATTGTCTTTGTGATTAACATTTGGCTCCTCATTACTCATGCAAATTTCTGAAGCTGGCTTGAACTCCTCCCTAGAAAATGAGTTTTTCTTTTCTACTACATGGTCAGCCTGCAAATCTTTCAAACTTTCAACCACAAATCTTTCTCTGCTCTCCTTTTTAACATAAGTTCCCATTTCAAGCCGTCTTTTCGTGAACACATAAGAATGAATGCTTTCAAAATCAAACAGGTCAATTCTTAAATTCTTTCCTGCTTAGATTTTTTTTTCTGCCAGATACCCTAAATCATCTCTCTCATCTTCATAGTTTCATAGATCTCTAGGGCAGGGGCAAAATGGTGCCAATGTCTTTGCTATAGCATTGCAAGAGTTACCTTTGCTCCAGTTTTCCAAAAGTTTCTCATCTCCATCTGAAACTGCCTCAGCCTAGAATTCATTGGCAACATCATTATCAGTATTTTGGTCAAAACTATTCAACCATTCTCTGGGAAGGTCCAAACTTTCCTACATATTTCTATCTTCTCCTGAGCATTTTAAACTATTCCAGTCTCTGCCTGTTATCCAGTTCCAAAGTCACTTCCACATTTTCAGGTATCTTTATAGCCATACCCCACTACCTCAGTACCAACTTACTGTAATAGTCCATTCTCACACTACTATAATGAACTTCCTAAGACTGGATGACATTGTTTGGCTGTGTCCCCACCTAAATCTTATCTTGAATTGTAACTCACAAAATTACCATGTGTCATGGGAGGAAGACAGTGGAAGGTCTTGAATTATATATCAGGTCTTTCCTGCACAGTTCTCGTGATAGTGAATGAATCTCATGAGATCTGATGGTTTCAAAAATGGGAGTTTTCCTACACAAGGTCTCTGTTTGCCTACGGCCATCCATGTAAGATGTGACTCCTTGCCTTCTGCCATGATCATGAAGCTTCCCCAGCCATGTGGAACTGTAAGTCCATTAAACCTCTTTTTCTTCCCAGTCTCGGGTATGACTTTATCACTAGCTAGAAAATGGACTAATACAATAATCAGGGCTATTGGAGGGCTCAGAAGGAAAATGTGGGAAAGTTTGGAACTTCCTGGAGACTTGTTGAATATCTTTGACAAAAATGCTGATAGTGATATGAACAATAAGGTCCAGGCTGAGGTGGGTTCAGATGGGGATGAAGAACTGGAGCAAAGGTGACTTGTTATGTTTTAGCAACAAGACTGGCGGCATTTTGATCTTGCCCTAGAGATTTATGGAACTTTGAACTTGAGAGAGATGATTTAGGGTAGCTACATAAAGAACTCTAGGCCAAAGGATCTACACAACTCCACAAAGGATCTACACAACTGGTTTTTTAGGCAAGTATTTTGATTCTAAGTCATGATTACACACCAGCAGAGAGGAACTTATCCCTGTATATACTATACACGTGCTCAGAGCTTCTCATGGAGTGATTAAAAGATCAAAGAGGTGGGATTGTACTGAGCTTGCTGGAATACATTTCATCACTTTATTAGGCCTTTTTACTAAGAAATATATACATGAATGGAGCAATACTGTCTGTGATTTGTTTCATTTTAACATACCACCTGGTAGTGTGGTGAAGTACTGTATTGAGAAGCAAAGGTGAAAGACACATGAAAACACAGAGAAAGAGAGAGAATGAGTAAGAGAAAGAGAGAAAAAAATTATTAGAGTTAAAATTTATTTTTGTAACATGAGGGGTTAGCCTATGACCCAGCATCATCAGTGCTCATAAAGTGTGTGTTGAAATAAATACAGGACCTGTAGCAGGGGTTAGATCATTCATACTCCAAATTTTACGTAAGTGATTCTTTTCAGTCTGAATATACACCTTAGTTTGACAGAATATTGAGACATTTTTGTTTTATACATATGATATAGATTTAATTTTGAGAAAGCATGCAATGATTACTAAAGAGAATTTCTTAAATATTTTAAAAATATATGTGTACATACATCAATATGAATTGACTGATGCTATTACTGATTCTCCGTTTTTTTCCGGTAAAATGCATTTATAGTTATTATATTGAAGTAAAACTGAAATAATGATACCTATTGGAAAAATAAAAGCTGTGATTGAAGTGTAATTTTATACAAATAATCTTGCTTATGTTGAGGTTTAAATTTAGTAATATTCCAAATTTTCAAACAAATATATAATGACTATTTCTTAGTAAAGATTTTGAATTCAATTGAATTTTAACTATACATTATAAATGTGAGGTGATATCAATGGAATATAAATTGATCAGAACCTGTTGATACTCAGCAACATTACGGTTCAGATAAAGTTTTAACTTTTAAATTATATTTTACTCATTATAGAGAGGGATTACAGAAGTAAAGTAAGCAGATAACTCTGAATCATGTACATCAGATAAACATAAAATTCATGTTATGATTGTTTATGTAATTAAAAATATTTTGCTTAATCCATAGTGTAAGAAAGTAAGGATATAAGGAGGGCTAAAATTATATACTACATAGACGTATAGAGGATTTTCAGTATAAACAGATACAAGCTGAATCTGAAGGTACTGTTGGTAAGAAAGCAAAGGAAGAATATGCTTGAAAAACATACAAAGAAAAAAATCGAAAAAGTCCAAAGCCTAAAATCATGATTCTTTATAGAAATATCCCTACGCTTTTCTGTGGAGTATCAAAAGAAGAACAAAAGTGATATTTATTCCTAGAACTACATTATTGCACCATAAACCTACACTGAATTCTGACTCTAAAAACAAAGTGCAACCATTAAGAATTGTAAACGGCATGCAAATGTGAAGAAATACAATGGAAACACAACCTGAGTGAAAGGTACAGAGATACTCCACAAAGTGAAACATAGCTGAAAGGGTTTCAGTTACAAAATAATAAATACTTTATTTCTAAAATGTTATGGCCACAATATTTTATGCCTTAACTACAAAGTATAGTCAATACTTTCAGTTACTAAAGGAATATAATCGTTTTATGCTCACTTTATCAATATCTTTTTAACTATTTCTACACCGTAATATTACTTTTATAATTTCAAAGATAATTACATTTTCAATATAAAATAATTAGGAAAATAAATTTTGCTATGACCTAACACCTAGTTATGCTACTCTCCCCATCCTATAAATGTATAATAATAGCAGATCACAAGTTACATAGGAGAAAAAATAATTAAGCTTTGCACATAAGTCATATTGTCTGTCAGTCTGATGTGCTGCCAGTAATACATGAAGGAGTGAGACGTCTGCCAATAGCTTTTCAAAATTCTGCTTTTCATTTGTTCTGGATAATTACCTAGTAGTGACATGGTTGTGTCACATGTAAATTCTATTTTAATTTTCTGGCATGTGTGCATATTTTTGTGTGTGTGTGTGTGTGTGTGTGTGTATATGTATAAAGTTCTATGGCAAAGGTAAATATACAGTCCAATATAGAGTCCTTTAACTTCATAATGTTTTTTATACATGTATATGTGTGTATATATTATATATGTATAGGTGTGCATATTTATGTTATATATATATTATGTATGTATACATGTTTATATAGGTATATAATGTGTGTTTGTATATATAAACACATATATACACCATCCTAATGTTTATGGTGATAGCTCATAACCTATTTAAGAGATGTTTTATATACACAGACACAGACACACATATACACCATGCTAATGGTTATGAAGTGATAGCTCATTATATTTTTGATTTACATTTCTCTAATGATTAGTGATGTTGAACATATTTTTATATGCTTTTTGACCATATAATATTTTTTGGATAAATGCATGTTCAAGTGCTTTTTTAAAAAAAATTGGGTTGTAGTTGCTAAGTTGTAGAGGTTTTATATATGATTTTGTTTATTCAACACTTCTCTCTGTTATCTTAAAATTAGTCTAGATAAAACAGTTTCAATTTTATTGACCATTTTAAAAACTGACTCTTAGTTTTGTTGATTTTTTTCTATTCAAAAAGTTTTCTATTTCTCTTCAAATCTGTAATATTTTCTTCCTTCTGCTGTCTTTGAGCTTAAAATTATTTTTTTCGCATTTCTTGAGATGTAAAGTTAGTTGCTTATGTCAGATTTTCTTTTTTATGTAGGTATTTATTAGAAACTTTTCTCACGCAACCGTGCATGTTAAATCATGAGGTTTTGTTTCTTATTTATTTTTTGTGTATCTTCTATAGGCATATTTTTTAGTTACTCTGAAGATTATATAATTATTTTACAGTTTAAAAATGTATTTTAAATTGTTCAAAACCATTTCAATCACATATGAAAAATCTACTACTATCTTCACTTTATGTTACTGGTGTCACTAATTATAGCTTTTTATGTTGTGTAACAGTTCTTTTCTTAGATGGACTTATTTAGATAGATTTATAGTTTTTTAATGTTTTTGTCTTTTAAATTGTATTCCAAAATTGAAATTAATTAATACACCAACATTATGAAGCTCTATATTGGACTGTATGATTACCCTTGCCACAGAGCTTTCTATTTGCATATGCCTTTGTTTTGATATCTAGCATCCTTTCATTTAAACTTGAAGGACAGCATCTCTTATAGTCAGGTCTTGTAATGACTATTTTCTTCAATTGTTGTTTTATTTTTTACCATAGATGATATTCAATATTCTATAAATATTGTAAGATATAACTTTGCCAAATAGTAGTCTTGTTTAGCAGGTTTCTTTTTCTTTTTCTTTCAGTGCTTTGAATATATCATCTCATTTACTTTTGATTTGGGAGGTTTCTGCTGAGATTCTTGTTGATACTCTTATTCTAGCTCACTTATATGTGATGAGCCATTTTTCACTGGCAGTTTTCAAGATTTTCTCTTTTCTGTGACTTTTTAAAATTTGAGTTTAGCCATGTTTTCCACATTCCACTATGCATTGGAATCACTGAGACACCTTTTAACAATACAAAATCTTGGCTTTTGACAGATATTATTTATTAAGAGAAATGGGCATTGGTGTTGTTATAATCAAAACTCCCCTTTTTTTCATGTTTAGCAAAAGTTGGAAACTCCTGTCTTAATCAATCTGATACGCACAAAATTTTTATATGTATAGTAGATACGTAAATTTTGCTTTCCTCTCTGATAACTCATGTAAACATTAGTCTCATTAAAAATCCTATTTTTCAATATTTCTTTCTTTGTTTTTCATGGGTTTTGGGACTCTAGGTTGGGAGTTCATAGAGAGAGAGGATAACAACCCTGAGCAGATTCTTGGGAAAGGACGAAATGGTTAGGGCAGAACATATTGCATACACAAGGCCAACTGGACTCTGATTGCTGCTGATCTCAAAACGCAACGCCAGACTGATGAAGAATGAAAGTCTTACAAGCAATAGCTCTTGAGTGGCAGGGAGTCTCATAAAGGAATTCAGAAAGCCCCAGAGTTTTAGAGTGGAAAATATGAAAATGAGGAGAAAGTAATGTGTTCTCTTTAAATTATCTGTGGATGAAATATTAACAAGCTTGCTCCATTCTTGCCTTTCCCAAATTCGGAAACATCTATTTCCTCTTTTTCTTCTTTCCTATTTTACCAAATGTTCGACAGGAAATCAAACAAAGTTTTGTGACCAAAAATATAGCCGTTGCCACACAGACCAGCAAAACCACAATCACACCCAAAGAGTGGCACTGGTACTAGGAGAGGTTGTGCGCAGCTAGCCGAGGGTGCTTGGCTCCTTTGTGGTGCATGACAAACTTGATCCAGAAAACTGCTCAACCCAGGGGCTTTACAGGTCGATCATGGTGAATTTTTGATAACCTTATAGCATTCTCTTTATAATTGGAAAGCAAGAGCACATATGGAAAACAGAGTTTTGTTTTGTTTTCATTAAAAAGAAGTAGGTAAACCGTAGCATATGTTATACAAGCCAAAAGCTTGTTGAATAAAAGAATTATTTTTGTTGTGATATGAACTTCATTGGTTGCATAGCATTGAACAGATACGGTGGGGAAATTGAAAAAGACACATATTCTTAGCAGAATGGGGTAAAATGAAGACGTAGAAAAATACTTAGTAAGCTGGTTGTTAATTTAAATCTACTGTTTCCAAGAAGGAGGATTGACACTCTATGAACTATCATTTCCAGGACTATTGCAATACTAAGATGATTATACCTGATGATATAATCATTGCAATACTAAGATAATGGCAATACTAAGATGATAATACCTGAGATTGAGAGGGAAGATCTTTTAAATAGTCTTCCAGTATGGCCCTAACATTTTCTAGTATGATATATAACATAATCAATGGTAGATAAGCCTTTTAAAGCAGTAATACTTACAAAAGATTATTGATACCTGTTCTCAAAGACCTAAGCAAATCTGTACCTGTAATTGTATTCATGTTCAGCTGCACAGCTGCTCCTTTGGCTTTCATGTGAGAGGTGTTGTCAAGATGATCACCAAACATAGGAAACTCCCACCATAGGGACTCCATGGTAAATAGCTTCATAGACCCCATTTATATCACCATGAGTGATAAAAGCTTTGGTTTGTGCATGACCTAGTTGGGAAACTGAATAAGAAGTATGGTTTTTATTATCACAATTCTTAAAAGAATTTCAGAGACATGTAGGGAAAAAATCTTTGAAATAACTCACTGAAGAGGGCAGAATTTTCTACAAAAGTGAACAAAAAGGGCATCATTGCAAAAGAAATTTGCTTTCTTAAGGAAAAGAGGCATTAATTTATTTCTGCATTGCTTGAAACTTACTTTAAAAATAAAAGTAAGAATCAAAAAATATAATGACCAACAATTACTCAATTATATATACTTTAAAATTAAAGGTAAAATAACAAACTATAAATTTTAAATTTTTGTTAAATTTATTAGGTGTTAAACAGTTATTCAATTTTTCCCTTATGAAATTCCTCATTTTTACTACGTCATAATCTTATCATGAAGATCGCTCTGGCATATCCAAACGTAGAGCTGAGTATTGGTTCCCAGTGTAGCTGGTTTCTTTCCTTTGAATCTCTATAAAACCTGAGGAAGTAAATGTATGCATTTCACAAGTTAAACCACAAGATAATAGCATTTTGAGTTTTCAGATCATTATAATTCATACAATCCACTTTATTTCAGATGATATTTGAGACAGGAGCATATAAGGGTCCTATGTAATCACTGAAAAAAATAGTAAGACTGTTGACAGTCACCTCTTAAAAGGGTAGGTACCATTAAACTCTTGGGGATACCATTTATTATTTTGTTTCCTGCAAACTCAAATCATCTAGGAGTGAGATTATAAAAATAACAAAAAAATAAAGCAGTGTTGGCTAATTTGTCAGCATATGGAAGTTCAATTTCTTACGGACACACAACTTCTGTGTAAATGTAAATCACTTGGCCATTCTAGCTCTATTATCAAATTTATAGTTTCCCAGAGACAAACATTGCTTTGGTTTTTGTCTGGTTTTGGGTAGTTGGTTGTCTTTTCTCTTCATGCCTCCTTCTCTCCTTTATTTCATTTATCTTTAATTAAAAAACAAAGAGAGAGGAGTTACCTATATTTCATTGTTGAAGGTTAAATTTTGTTTGTATTTGTATCTTAGTTCCATACTTTTTTCTTTCTAGAAACGTATATGAAAATCTCACACTTGAAAACAAAGGATTACATAGATACTCTGAACTCCCAAAACGAGAATCTCATGACTAAAACCAATTTCACATTCCTATTTACCATACTTGCTTTTATTGAGTGTTTTGAAATTTAACTAAACATAAAATTAAAAAAAAAACCTCTAGGCTGGTGTATAAATAGCACTAACTAAAGAGAGGAAAACTAGAATTACAGTAATAACAAAACTAATTGAATATCATAAAGAATTACATGCAGGTTGCTAGACTATAATATTAAAACCATAATTGCCTTTTAACTATAGAAAACTCTAGTTCATTAGAAAGACTACATAAATTTAAGCTTCTACTTTTATGTTCAAATACGTGGAATAGAGTTCCTATATAATCAAATATGTTGAGAATACTATTGAGCATGATTCTTCTCTTATATAATTCCCCAATTTTTATATTCCTTTGAGCTAGTATATTTAAAAAGTTTCCTTTGGAGTCATCAGAATATGTCTCAAGATTTCAAATCCTGCAATGTGGAATAGGGACTTAATGCACTATTTTTATTTTATTATTAACAAATGACAAGCAAGAGATGTGTTACTAAAGCAATAGAAAAGATCACTAGGCAAATAATCAGTTGTGTCCACATACACAACCATAATGTTTTCCAAATTGTTACGTAAATCTAACGCCTGTTACGCAAATTGAAAAATGAGATTCAAGTTCCAAATGGAAAGCCATACTTTCTCTATTGTGTGAATAGCTTCTTATAAGGATTGGAGGTTCTACTGACTTTTTGTGGAATCTGAGCCAGGGCGGAAGTGATAAGATAAACCTTTTCTTCTGTAAGGTTTTTCACAACTGACTCCAGAGAAAACACAACAACACCATCCTTATCAGAGCGCTGGAAAAATTCTTCTATTTCCTACAGAAAAAAAAATTTTCTTCATTATAAAGATGCAATGCCAAATAGAATAATACAGTTTATGCATACTTCTAAAATAAAATTTTGAAGTTGACATATATATAGTTGTATTGTCCCTGTATTCTGAGATGCATTTTAGCATAGAAATGAGAAAGTTTGTGTTAGAAACATATGTCTTCAGTACATAATAATTATTTACTAGAAAAAGCACACAACCACATAGTTATACAGAACATTTAAGTGAGAAATGTCCATCTTGTTTAATATTTGGTAGACATCAAATTCTAAAAACATAATGGTTAGTAAACTCATAAAACTATTTCAACAATATCAAGTGTCAATTTGTTGGCATTTTGTGATGTCAACAAAATAATAAAATTTTAAAAATCCAACATCAATTCCCCAACAAAAGTACAACTAGTAGCTATCCAAATACACAAATGCCACTCTGAATTCACCAGATCTCAATAGAGAAGGAGAAAACCCCAAGACTTACGGACATGACAAACTTATGATTGGTAAGATGAATAATTTTTGGGGGCTATACCAACCCCTTCCACACACAAAAATGACACCACTGTGAGATAACTTCTTTTTACCTGCAGTTATTGAAATGGGAGGAGGGAATTTCAAGTGGACATATAATTTCTTCATGGGTCTGTAAATTTGGAGGGAAAGCCCACATTTGTCCCACCCCACAAGAGGTATTGAGAGTGTTCACAGGGCTGAACCACCTGGGGTAAATTTGAGACCAAAAGTAAGAGTAGTAATCACAGTGATTGGCCCACAGATCTTGGCGTCTGCTTTGTGTACCTAGCTACAGGGATGCCACACTGAGGAGTCTGACCAGAACCATAGCACTGCAGGAGGCAAGATCTAAGAGAAGGTCTGAATCTTTGACAAGATTTTTTACAATTCCCAGGGAGTCATGTGGATGGAGATTTTCCATGACTGGGAAACAAGTATAAGGTTTGAAATTAAGTTCCAATGATTGTTTAAATCTCTCGCAGACCTAGAAATCACTGCAAGTCTGGGTTTAAGTTCCAGTGCAGCATTTATGTTCAGATGCTCACAATAAGTCTCCCAAGACTGGAAAACAACATTAGAGCAAATATTGAATTGAGTTTTGGTGCAGTATTAAATTCTGGTGGCAAATATTAAGTCCTTGCCCAAACAAAAAGCAACTGGTGGCAAGGAATTAGATTCCAATAATAAATAGTAAAGGTTGAACAACACAAGAATACACCTATAAGAGCTATACCATGTCAATATCTCTTTAAATATGGAAACAGCAATGTACAGATGAAAGGAAACACAACACCGCTAAAAAACAACAGAACTCACCTAATGCAGTAGAAGAAATAAACATATATAACATTTCTGACAGAGAATTCAGAGCACATCTTTTTATAAAAGAGCTCAGGAAACACCGAAAATATAAACAGAAAGTTAAAAAATCATTTGGAAAATATTTAAAGATCAAGAGGAGAAAAGTTGTCTTTTTTAATACATAAATTGAAAAAGCTTCAGCTAGAATAGCTACAAAAATAGATGACTCAAATAAATGAAATAAGAGATGAAAAGGATACATAACAACTGATACACAAAAATACAAAGGATTATAAGAGACTATCATAAACAAGTACCTGCCAGCAAATTAAAAAATCCAAAGGATATAGACAAACTTTTAGAAATGTACAACAAATCAGGATTGAATTATGAAGAAACAGAAACATGAGTAGAGAAATAACGAGTAACAAAATTGAAGCAGCAATAAAAACTCCATAAAAATGTACTAATTTTATTCAAATTATTGAAAAATAAACCATTTTTCTAAAAATGTTTCTTCCAAAACATTAAGGGGAATTGAATGCTTTAAAAAATAGGGTTTTATGGCTGGGATAAGGATCACCTTGATAGCAAAACCAGAAAGAAGGAGCCAAAAAAAATTTAAAAAAATAGAAAAATTCTGTAGGCCAATTTTTCTGATGAACATAGATGCAAAAATTCTCAGCAAATATTAGCCAATCAAATTCAACAGCACATCAAAAAGATTATACTCTATGATGAACTGGGATTTATCTCAGGGATGCAGGGAAGGTTAAACCTATGCAAACCCATAAACGTGATACATAACACCAAGAGAATTAAGAAAAAAATAATTTGTATGTCTTAAAAAAAAATCTTCTAATATACAACAGAATGATTTTAACACAAAATGCCATATAACCAACATAGGGTAAGCTTGAATGGAGAGTGATTGTCTAATGTGTATAAACATTCTTTTAGGTTGGTGACAGTTTTGGATCTAGATTGAAGTGACAGTTACACAATACTGTGAATGCCACTGAATTGTTCACTTTTAAATGGTTAAAATAGTACATGTTATTTTATGTAATTTTACCTCAAATATTAAAAAAAAAACATGTATACATGTAGCTGACCAAATTTTGCCCAGAGGACCCAATTGATTTGTCAACCCTTGGTTAATTAAATTATAAGAAATTTAATTCTGACATATTTAAAATAGCAAATGCTGTCATTTTTATCATTTACTTTTGAAAAATGATACTTTTAAAAATATATGAGGCAATTTAGGTAAGGACTCAAATCATTGTGGAAATTTATCTGTCTAGTTAATAATTATTATAATTAATGCAAATTTAGTTTGCTACATATAGCACCTGTAGTGCTTTACCAAGTTAATGCATCCGGCCTTTCATCAGCCACATGAGGTAGATAATGGCGTTACTTCATCTCCGTTTCACTGATGGAGAAGTTGAGGCATAGAGGTGAGGCAACTTGCCAAACCCCACATAATTCTGTAGTGGTTTTGCAGGGACTTGAATCCAGGCTAACTGGATGCAGAGTACAAAAGCTCTTAACCACCATGCTATGCTGACCTCCCTTTCTGAGTTTCAGTTATTTTCAAAATGCTACATTTGTAGTTTTCATTTTCTTGCCTCTATATTAATTATATATTATTATGAATGTATAATTACATTTTTAGAAATATTTTAGTTATCTATCACGTCACAACCAACTACCCTCAAAAGTGGGGACTTTGAAAAACAATAAGCATTTTATTAGAACTCTCATAGCATGAGTGTTGGGTGGGCTCAGCCAGGTGGTTCATACAGAGTATTTCTCAGGTCGTTACTTTCATATGATGGCTGGGGATGTAATCATCTGAAGGTCATTCATTCACATACTTAGTGATTGATGTCGAAAGACTGAAACTCCTTTTTGACTGAATAATCCTGACTTCCTAGTCTCCTCTGTGTGCCCCTCCCCAAACAGTCATTTATCATCAAGACTTTGGCTGTAATACAGGGCTCCACAGTGTACGGAGGGAGAAAAAGAGGCAGAAGGACAGAGAGAGAGGAAGAAAGAGATATAAGTAAAAACAAAGACAGACAGACAGACAGAGACAAGGAGACAGACAGAGATAATATACTGCCTTTTCTAACACAGTCTTCAAAATTACGCTGTCACTTCTACCATATTTTCTTTGCTGAGACAGCCACAAGCCTTGCTAAAGTGCAAGGGCAGGGACTATGGTTTGATTAGAATGTCAAAGTATTTGCAGTCATGTCTCTAAATCACCAAAATATAAGCTGTTGAGTTAGTCAACAGAAGTCACTGTGTAACTAGCAAATTCATTATATATTGAAAATAGAAACACAGTAAAATCATAAAAGTGTGTGAATTTAAAAGTTTACAACTATTGAAACCTTTATTATGCATTGTAAAATATTTATTCATAGATATTTTAAATATAAAATAGGTTTCCTATGAACAGGCGTCAAATTAATCATATGGCATAGAATACTGAGGTGATCCTAAGTGGCTCAATTCTTTCCCATTTATTCTACTGCAGACACATACACATCTACAAGAAAAAATGACATACAACAACATATATAGCCTAGTATAAAATGATGGAAGATCTAGGCATAGTGGTTCATGCCTGTAATCCCAACACTTTGGGAGGCCATGGTGGGCAGATCACCTGAGGTCAGAAGTTTGAGACCAGCCTGGCCAACATGATGAAACCCCATCTCTACTAAAAACACAAAAATTAGCCAGATGTCAGGGCAGGCGCCTGTAATCCCAGCTACTCGGGAGGCTGAGGCATGAGAATTCTTTGAATCGGGGAGGCAGAGTTTGTAATGAGGTGAGATTGTGTCCCTGCACTCCAGATTCCACATTAGAGTAAAAACAAACAAACAAACGAACGAAAAATGAAGGAAGGATGTTTACCGATTGTTAAAATCAGAGGGAATTCTGTGAATAGATGCTTGTAAGAGCTGTGACAAAGTGACTTTTGGGAGGAAAACTAATGAGACATAGTTTCTAGAAGCAGGGAACAAAATTTACTCTACAGGATGCAGTGACATCCTGTTAAAAAACAAGTAGAGAAAAAATGTGTGGAACTAGAGATCTCCCTAGACTGCAGCAGAGACAATTGAAAAAATTGTGAAGGGATGCTCTTACAATACAGAACATGAGGGATGTTGCAGAAAGCAAAACCTGTTGAAGATTTCCCCAAGAAAACTACATGAGAAACTAAGCAGTCATACACAATTGGAAGATTTGCACTCAAGGATTCTAGATAGAGGAAACGATCAGAATGAGATTTTGATTTTCGATTTTTATATTTATTTTTTAAGGCCTTGCTCAGTTGTCCAGGTTGGAGTGCAGTGGTGTGATCACGGCTCACTTCAGCCTCAACTTACTAAGCTGAAGTGTTTCTCTCACCTCAGCCCCCTCAGTAGCTGGGACCACAGGTGCATGTCACCACGCCCAACTAATTATTTTATTTTTTGTAGTGATAAGCTCTTGTTGTGTTGTCCATGCTGATTTCAAACTCCTGGGCTCAAACAGTGCTCTCATTTCAGCATCCCAAAGGGTTGAGATTACAGATGTGAACCACCGTAACTTTACAAAAATATTTTTAAATAAGCATGATTCAAATGTTCAGAGATGAAAGAGTCACTAACATAAAACAAGAATGGGATGAGGTGAGGATGAATACAAAAATAATTAGATATTCTTGAAATCAGAAATGTGCTCCCTAATTATATGAAATGTTGTTTGATTACATAAAATAAAGTGGAACTGAATGATTGACTGGTACAGCCCCCAAGAAGAATCACTTAATGATCTCGAAATTACCAGTAAACTGATTAAAATGTAAAAGTATTGCTTGTTAACACCTTCTGTTAAAGCTTTCCTGATTAGTTTTTCTTCCAAAGCTCTCTAGTTTCTAGTTGTTTTCTTGGTCTTAACTATCCATTACATGCTTTGTTAAAGTATTTATGCCCTGTTTCAATGTGATTGTCTCAATTTTTATTTCATTCTATCCTACCTCTTGCAATCTGCATGTCTTCATTATTATTGATCAATCCAACTGCAAAGTTCACCTTATCTAAGGATTATTCATTAATTTTTACTTGTTTATCTGATCTTTATTAATTTTGTCTCTTTGCCAGTCACTCTGAGCCATGGTCATGATGACTTAGGATTCTGGATCTCTTATGAATAATAAATTTATCCTTAATAAAGTCTCTATACTAAAGAAGAATCTAATGAAAAATATCACTTGAAAAAATGAGTGCAGTACGTGAACAAAGTTCTGACTAGATCATAAACACAAAAAGTGATTAATCAGTTTATTATTTAGGGACTAACAATGAAATCAATTATATATCTTCATATACTTTGAATTGGAAAAATTAATATTTATCATAGGTAAAGCACCAAATAACTGGCGACTCCAGTGCTGGTTTGTTGGGAGTATGAATAGAGTGGTGATAGGTGAAGGGCATCCACAGGCTCAGCACAACAAGAATCCCCTCTAACCAAGTCTGAGCCAGCAACTACTGAAATAAAAAATCCAACCTACTAGTATTGCAATTTTTAATATATATTTGGACATTAGGCAAGTGACCACCAGTGGAACTGCGGACTCAGTGGGCCAACTCTAAGCTCACCTTTGTCTGAACCTCTATATGGCCCCCCACTTTCAAAAAAGAAAGTCATGCCTCCTACTCATCCAAACTTTACCAAGATTCAGTGTCTTAGGGTACAACTTAAAAATAATAACAAATGAGAAATTTGAAATTTTATGCCTCACCAGTTTTCAATTTACTGTAGCTCGGATCCAAATATAGCTTTATGATACTGAATCAGGATCCTGTAAGCATTCCTCTTTTGCCAGCTGGTTGAAGGTTAAGCTTCATCAGTAGAGGACACTCGAGTGATGGTGAGGTGCTTGATGCAGGAAGGTGCATCCCTTCCAAGACTCACACTTTAGTTATTCAGTAATGTTTATCATTAATATTGAAGTTTAAGAATATGAATGTTAAAGAATATACTTAAGAATACTAAAGAATATACTTAAAGTAAGAGGAAAACTTCTAATAGCACATTTGTTTTATCTTTTAAGAAATATTGCATTCTGCAAAGAAATTAATTCAGAAAACTCCTACATAAACCATTTGTCCTTGACATAGATAGATTCAGCTTCATATGTTATTTTAAAGATTAAAATTATAATTATGTTATTTTTGTGTTTATCTTCTGTGGTGCTTGAATATCCCTGTCTTTATGCAGCATATTCAAAATTTAAAAAAAAGAATATCGCAAATTTGAAGAATGTTATTTCAATTATATCATTCTATGTGATTGCTTAGAGTTTCTGTGTTTAAATTTTTTTAACTGCGGAGATATTTAAAAGCTTGTACAATCAATCCCCAAAGAGCAGACACATCATATTATTGCAATTTTTGTAATCCAATTTAAAATGGAATTTTTATGACTCTCCATCAAGCATACCATCATGTTCACATATTTTCCTAAGTATATATGTACATATCACTTCATGTAAAAAGGCTTCTCAGAATTAAACTAGTGAAAGTATTATGTGTTCACTCATGGATAGACATAGATATGTGTATCTGGATATATGGTCTAAGAATTTCAAAGAAGATCTATTTTAAGAACATACTTTATTAGGAAAGTATATTCTGATATATTCCGATACATTTTCAGAAGATACTTCATTAAGGAAATATAAACAGACTAGAATTTAGCTTTTGTAGTACATGCTGAACATCATTATTGCCTCAGACTAATATTTATCCATAAGTTTCTCCCTGTTTTTTTTAAAAAAAGACATTACTATAATTGAAGTGCACAAATGCATTACTTTTTTCCTTTCTTGAACTTTGTTATTTTTTTCTTTCTAGTGACATGATTATATGTTCAAAGTTTAATAAAATAAAATATTCAGTGTATATTTCTTTTCTAGATATTAAAATAATTTGTTTTATAACCAATTGTTGCTAAAAATATTTTTTTCATAGAAAAGAGTAATATAAAAATCTTTTTCATGTGTTAGAATGATCATTATGCTTCTCTTCCATCTGATTGTTCAGGCACATCTCTTGTCAGACAGAAGAACTGCTCTAAGTTGGTTTTTTCCTTCTCTGTGATTTGCTTTGCAAACCTTTTTCTGAATCCAGATGCTGTAATGACCAATATTTAAAGGCAGAGTTTAGAGAGCTTTTGCCATTTATTATGCTTTCTTGAACATAGATTTTAAAAATTATTGTACAGGATATTTGGCTCTTTATTCCATCTACAATTTATTTTTCCATGTTATGAGGGGAGAATAAGTAAAATGATTGTATATATTTCTGGTTTGTGTATCCTCAGTATTCCAGGTATTAAAAAAGTTGGAAATGTCTGACTTGACAAGTTAAGGCCAAGAAATAGTGAGATATTATTGCAGGACAGAAATCATGTAACATTGTAATCTAGAGGGACTGGACTAAACTTTCTGAACCATATCTATAATTCCTATCTAAAGGGAACTAGCCTGGCATTTTATTTTGTGTATTATTATCCAATTACAAAGGGTTGTTACTAAAGTGAAAATAATAACTCAAGCATAGTCCAGGCCTCATGTGGAAAACATCTTTTGTCTTTCTAACTAAGGATTTTACCAGGTTGCATAGTTTTGGATAGGAAGTCAGTTATGACCATCAATAATTTTGAAACAAAGAACATTCTCATTAAGAAATATTTTGTATTTCATGAAGGACTTATTTTTACACTCCCATGTAACAGAAAAGACTTGTATAAACACCATGTTAGGAGACTTGGCCAAGTTTAGCTTAGCTTATATGTGCACTAGGTCATGAATTTGCCTTTAAAGGTCACCCTAGCTTCCATGGTAGGTCTTGACTCAAAAGAATGTGATGCTGCCAAACTGCAAAACATACATACACTGCCTAATCCACCTTGTCTAATAATTTTCAATTATTTCCCACTAAATTTTTATGTAATTTTCCATTTTCACATATCCCACTAGCTACTTTTTGTTTTCCTCAATTTATTCATATCACTTTTCTCTTTAAAAGCCTCAGTTACCTTTGTCTTAATTAGAGTTGAGCTCAGTTTATACTGTAGTCTCTATCTCCTACTTCATTAGTAAGAACAAAATATGTCTTGCCATTTTTAAGAAGGATCTTGCTCTGTTTTTCTTGACAGGGACACACATAATCCATATCATTGTATTTGTTTATACAGAAGAGTTTTCTTTACCTCTGTAACAAACCTACACCTCTTGCACATGTACCTCTGGAATTACAATAAATGTTGGAAGTAAAAAATAAAATAAAAAAGGGGTTTCTAAAAATGCACAGTAGAAATACATTATTCCCCACCTTCTTAAATAAACAACCTTGAGTTTTCAGTGAATCTCATTTTTTTCAGTTTAGAAATATACATAAGTAAGCATCAAAATTGAGTAATTTTAGGATTTCTGAAATTAAAATTGTATATTACTTAATGTTTAATGAAGAGTAAAATATTTGAATAAATCAGGAAGGCACAAGTCTTGTGAAATATGGAGGAGAATTTTGCCACACCTTGATGAATATTGGTGGCATTAAATGTCATGACCTTCCCTATCATGCCTGCCTGCCTTAGATCTCAAACAGTGCTACTCTCTTTTTTTTCTTGTCTTAACAAACTTTTGATAATCAAACCAGCAAAATATTATCACAAAGAGAGTAAAAATTGCCTTGCAGGCCAGCACAACCAGAGAGCAGTACTGGAGCCATGTGAGACTGTTGGCAGGTGGCAGCAAGTACTTGGCTCCTCTGTGGCGCATGACAAACTTGATCCAGAAGACTGTTTGGTCTGTGGGCTTCATAAGCTGATCATAATGAGTGACTGAAACCATATAACATTCTCTTTACAGTTAACGAAAATCAAATAGACATAAACTTATAGAATATAAAATAGAAATATGTGAAATTTTTGTGTAGATGTTAAAAGTTAGTGCCACATATAAGTGGGTGCAAAATAAAATATTTTATTTCCTGTTGGTTATAGAGATTTTGGTTTATGGATTAGAATTTGTTGGATGCATAAGATTTCACGATGTGAAAAGAGAATTTAAGAGAGAACAAATGTTTCTATGCTAGAAATTAAAATTAGTTAAGTCCAAAGGATAAAAATAAATCATTTGAGGGTACAGAGGTTGAATTAGCCATTAATGAAATTGTAATGAACCTGGTGTGCAAATTTCAAAATAATATCAAAGTCTAGAGATAGGAGACAAATCTATGACAAAGTTCAGGTCCATATCAGGGCAAAGCTGATAAGAAGTTGGCATTGATCAGAAATTAGTATTGACATCATATGAGTGAATTAGTGATTAAAAGTGTAAAAGTACATGGCCTTAGTTTGAATCATGACCTGATATCTACTGGTGCTTTTTTATTTATTTATTTTTTTGAAAAGTATCTGTTCCTAGTTTTTTTTTTAATTGTTAAATTGAATGAATAAGAATGGTATCTTTCTTATCTGTTTATTGTAAGTAGTAATGATTCTTAGGATACTTGGTAGAATTATTCTCATCATAATGAGACTCTATGTAAATGTTCACTATTGTTACTGTTTTTCTTGCATTGTGATTTTAAAATCTAAGTGGGGCTTAATATTTTACTTTGAGGCATTGTAGTCCCATTTATTAACAGTGCTGAAATAATTATGGACTAATAAATAAGGAATAAGGATGAATGTAAGCATAAGCCTTACCAAGTAGAAACCAAAGGGTGCTAAAGCATGGCACTGTAGCAATAGCAACGGAGGTAACTTCTCTTTTTGATATTTAAAAAACAGAGTGGGAAGACTATGTATTTCAGAGGAGGGAATTAAACCTGATATATATTTTCAATACAATTGGGAAAAATTATAACCAAGAAGTTGCATAATACAAATTATGAATATAATGCATGTCATTTCATATACAGTGAATAGGTATCAACTAATTAAAAATTATCTTTATTTTTCAACACAGCATTATATTTATTAAAATTTATAATATTGTCAATTTAATAGTAATAGCAAAACTGAAATTAACGTATGTACTGAAATAACTTAGAAATCCTATATTTCTGGTTTCGGACATTTTGGCTATTAAACAGGAATATTCCAAACTATCTCTTTCAAACCAATTATTTTTCAATTTTATAAATCTTCCAAATAAGCAAAAGCAAACACAACCATAAGAACAAAGAATATGGCTACATTTATATAGTATGTTCTTTTTCAAATAATTTGTAAAGGCAAATTTGAAAGCTCTAGTTGTTTACACGTTATCAGTGATGAGATAAAAATGTTAGCATAAAAATTTGGAAAGCATTAAATATAATAGGAATTAGAGATTGATTATGTCAATCTGATCAGTAAATCATGCTGATTTACTGAAAACAAATTACAAGAGTTTTAAAAACAAGGAAAAAAGGGTAACTAAAGTGAGATGATGGACATGTTTACTTGCTTCATTATGGTAGCCTTTTAACTAAGTATTTGTATCCCATACTATCACTTTCCATACCTTCAATAGACAAAATAAAATTTATTTGAAGACTAACGTTTGATGAGATCTCATCCTAAAAGACCCTTATAACTGTGCTGAAAATTAGTCAGTGCTGTAATAATATTCATGCTTCTTTTCTTCAACTTTGTTTTCAGTCTTCCTTATAATCCTTCTGTTACCATATTCAGCAATTCTTCTTATTTCACTTTTTGGCTATTTTAAAACTTATGCCCTATCCTAAAACCTCTGACAAATGTTTCCACTGAAACCACCAAAAAAACAGGTTGTGATACTCACAGTGGTTTATTAATGATTTCCTTTAAGCGTTACCAAAAAAAAAAAAAAAGTACTCAGCATTGTGTTCAAGTTTAGAGTCACTGCTGCTTCCTTGGCCTTCATGTGAGAACTTATCAATACATGCTATGTAGTTTAAAAAATTTCATTCATGAAGAGTCATTAATGACTGCTTTTAATGCGTTGAGCAAATCTGTAGTTGACATTGTTTTTGAGTTTACTCTAACAGCTTCCCCCTTAGCCTTCATGTGAACAAACTTATCGGGTTGATCTACAAACAAAGGAAGTCCCACCATAGGGATCCCATGGTTGATCCTCTCATAAGTGCCATTGGCTCCACCATGAGGTATAAAAACATTGGTTTTTAGATGACCCAGGATTAGATAAATGTTTGAATAATTATTCGTGATGAGTCTTAGAATTAAAATGAGCAATGCTCAATAGGAGGCAATGGAATGGACAGTGTTCTCTAGATAACAAATTACTGCAACAGTAAAACTGCATTAAAATTACTTTCAGATCTCAGAGAAAGAAGCACTAAGTCATCTGGGGTGAAAAGTGAAGGCTACACATTGAAGAAATGGTATATGACTTGAGACTTGAAGAATAAATACAAGATTGTCAAGTGGACATATAGAGCACACTGTGGATAAAGAAAACTGCATATCCCCTGCTGCAGCCCCCCAGAAGTAGGATGCATGGTAGAACATGTTCTCTTAGAGAAATAGTGGAGTCACTGAGTGTGATAGGGCACGGTGTCCAGGGCAGTAGGGAATAAGGTGGTGGTGATGCTTGAATAGAGGAAGGACAGGCCACGCTCCATCACAAAATGTGTTACCACTTCATAATGAAGACTGGGGATTTATTTCCATAAAAAATGCAGTTGCTGGTAATAAAAGAAGGGTTGTTATTTTTCAGTTGCATTTGAAATACGTAGCTGTTAGGAGAAAAGGGTAGGTGGAACATTTGAATTAGTAGACAGACATCCCAGAAAATTAATGAAAAATTATTCATGAGATGCAACTATACTAGAGATAAAGGTAGTTTTTTTCTGACCATAAAAAAATGACTGTGTATAACAAATGCCAACTGTTGTAGTTTATTATATATTTCCTCAAGACTGGAACATAAACGAAAAGAAGTTGGATTTTATTTTTGAGTTTTTAAATAATAAATGGTAAATCAGAAATTTTCTGTGGGACTATTATCATCCTGATTGGCTGTTACTCAAGTTTTCAAAATTTATTCTTCAGAGTCATACCAAGAAAGTTATTCTGGACTACCCACTTGTACAGCTGAGTTATTGTACTAAGGTATCTGATTTCCTGTCATCAAATTTCCATAGATCCATATAGATAAGTGAGCCTACCAATGAGAACACATGGACACATAGAGGGCAACGACACACACTGGGACCTTTCAGAGAGCAGAGGGTTTGAGGAGGAAGAGTCTTGCGGGAAGTCAGGAACCCCAAACAGAGGGACCGGCTGAAGCCATGGTGGAAGAATATAAATTGTGAAGATTTCATGGACATTTATTAGTTCCCCAAATTAATACTTTTATAATTTCTTACGCCTGTCTTTACTGCAATCTCTGAACATAATTTGTGAAGATTTCATGGACACTTATCACTTCCCCAATCAATACCCTTGTGATTTCCTTTGCCTGTCTTTACTCTAATCTCTTAATCCTGTCATCTTTGTAAACTGAGGAGGATGTATGTTGCCTCAGGACCCTTTGATGATTGCCTTAACTGCACAAATTATTTGTAGAGCATGTGTGTTTGAACAATGTGAAATCTGGCCACCTTGAAAAAAGAACAGGATAACAGCAATGTTCAGGGAACAAGATAGATAACCTTAAACTCTGACTGCTGGTGAGCCAGGCGGAACAGAGCCATATTTCTCTTCTTTCAAAAGCAAATGAGAGAAATATCACTGAATTCTTTTTCTCAGCATGGAACATCGCTGAGAAAGAGAATGCATTCCTGAGGGTAGGCCTCTGAAATGGCCACTTCTGGGGGGGCGGCCTTCTTTTATGTTCGAAGCTGTAGGGATGAAATAAGCCCATCTCCCATAGTGCTCCCAGGCTTATTAGGATGAGGAAATTCCCACCTAATAAATTTTGGTCAGACAGGTTGTCTGCTCTCAAAGCCTGTCTCCTGATAAGATGTTATCAATGACAATGTGTGCCTGAAACTTCATTAGCAATTTTAATTCCGCCCCAGTCCTGTGGTCCTGTGATCTCACCCTGCCTCTATTTGCCTTATGATATTCTATTACCTTGTGAAGCACGTGATCTCTGTGACCCACATTCTATTTGTACACTCCCTCCCCTTTTGAATATCACTAATAAAAACTTGCTGGTTTTATGGCTCAGGGGGCATCATGGAACCTGCTGACATGTGATGTCTCCCCTAGACACCCAGCTTTAAAGTTTCTCTCTTTTGTACTCCTTTATTTGTCAGACTGGCTGATGCTTAGTGAAATAGAAAAGCACCTAGATGAAATATTGGGGGTGAATTTCACCTGATATCGGGCTGAATTTCCCCTTATAGGAGAGAGTCAAGAAAAATAACTAATGGGTACTTGGCTTAATACCTGGGTGATTAAATAATGTGTACAACAAACCCCCATGACCCAAGCCGACCTATGTAACAAACCTGCGCTTGTACCCCTGAACGTAAAACTTCAAAAAAAAGAGAAAGTAAGTACCTTGTTTTATGAGTCAAATTCAAATTGGAGCATGTCTGTTGGAATTCTAAAAAGGGACCGGGTGCAGTGGCTCACGCCTGTAATCCCAGGACTTTGGGAGGCAAACGAGGGTGGATCACGAGGTCAGGAGTTACAGACCTGCCTGGCCAAGGGGGCAAAACTGTATCTTTATTAAAAATATAAAAAATTTAGCCAGGCATGGTGGCAGGCACCAGTAATCCCAGCTACTCAGGAGGATGAGGCAGAGAACTGCTTGAACCCAGGAAGCAGAGGTTGCAGTGAGCTGAGATCACACCACTGCACTCCAGCCCAGGCATCAGAGAGAGAATTCATCTCAAAAAAAAAAAAAAGAATTCTAAAAAGATGGAAGTCACCTACTTAAATGCTTTCCATATGGCTGACAAGGAAATGAGGACAAGGCAGGTTAAGTAATGAGAACTGCTAGAAGACTGAAGTGAACAGAACATCTATATTTCCTTGACTGGATTTTATATTGAACCAGATTAAATAAAATCATGATGTTTTATACATAGTGACTTAGATATTGAGATAATAAATGAAAAATTCAAATATTTAAGTAATCATTAGGCAGACATAATTCCAGTGAAAAGAAGAGTAAGAAATTACTAATGGTCCACACCTTTTATTATTATTATCATTATTATTATACTTTAAATTTTAGGGTACATGTGCACAATGTGCAGGTTTGTTACATATGTATACAAGTGCCATGTTGGTGTGCTGCACACATAAACTCATCATTTAGCATTAGGTATATCTCCTAATGCTATCCCTCCCCCTTTCCCCCAACCTACAGCAGTCCCCAATGTGTGATGTTCCCCTTCCTGTGTCCATGTGTTCTCATTGTTCAATTCCCACCTATGAGTGAGAACATACGGTGTTTGGATTTTTGTCCTTGTGATAGTTTGCTGAGAATGATGGTTTCCAGCTTCATCCATGTCCCTACAAAGGACATGAACTCATCATTTTTTATGGCTGCATAGTATTCCATGGTGTATATGTGCCACATTTTCTTAATCCAGTCTATCATCCTTGGACATTTGGCTTGGTTCCAAGTCTTTGCTATTGTAAATAGTGCCACAATAAACATACGTGTGCATGTGTCTTTATAGCAGAATGATTTATAGTCCTTTGGGTATATACCCAGTAATGGGATGGCTGGGTCAAATTGTATTTCTAGTTCTAGATCCCTGAGGAATCGCCACACTGACTTCCACAATGGTTGAACTAGTTTACAGTCCCATCAACAGTGTAAAAGTGTTCCTATTTCTCCACATCCTCTCCAGCACCTGTTGTTTCCTGACTTTTTAATGATCACCATTCTAAGTGGTGTGAGATGGTATCTCATTGTGGTTTTGATTTGCATTTCTCTGATGGCCAGTGATGAGGAGCTTTTTTTATGTGTGTTTTGGCTGCATAAATGTCTTCTTTTGAGAAGTGTCTGTTCATATCCTTTGCCCACTTTCTGATGGGATTGTTTTCCTTTTTTTTTTCTTGTAAATTTGTTTGAGTTCTTTGTAGATTCTGGATATTAGCCCTTTGTCAGATGAGTACGTTGCAAAAATTTTCTCCCATTCTGTAGGTTGCCTGTTTACTCTGATGGTAGTTTCTTTTGCTGTGCAGAAGCTCTTTAGTTTAATTAGATCCCATTTGTCAATTTTGGCTTTTGTTGTCATTGCTTTTGGTGTTTTAGACATGAAGTCCTTGCCCATGCCTATGTCCTGAATGGTATTGCCTAGGTTTTCTTCTAGGGTTTTTATGGTTTCAGGTCTAACATGTAAGTCTTTAATCCATCTTGAATTAATTTTTGTATAAGGTGTAATGAAGGGATCCAGTTTTAGCTTTCTACATATGGCTAGCCAGTTGTCCCAGCACCATTTATTAAATAGGGTATCCTTTCCCCATTGCTTGTTTTTGTCAGGTTTATAAAAGATCAGATAGTTGTAGATATATGGCATTATTTCTGAGGGCTCTGTTCTGTTCCATTGGTCTATAGCTCTGTTTTGGTACCAGTACCATGCTGTTTTGGTTACTGTAGCCTTGTAGTATAGTTTGAAGTCAGGTAGCATGATGCCTCTAGCTTTGTTCTTTTGGCTTAGGATTGACTTGGCAATGTGGGCTCTTTTATGGTTCCATATGAACTTTAAAGTAGTTTTTTCCAATTCTGTGAAGAAAGTCATTAGTAGCTTGATGGGGATGGCATTGAATCTATAAATTACCTTGGGCAGTATGGCCATTTTCATGATATTGATTCTTCCTATCCATGAGCATGGAATGTTCTTCCATTTGTTTGTATCCTCTTTTATTTCATTGAGCAGTGGTTCGTAGTTCTCCTTGAAGAGGTCCTTCACATCCCTTGTAAGTTGGATTCCTAGGTATTTTATTCTCTTTGAAGCAATTGTGAATGGGAGTTCACTCATGATTAGGCTCTCTGTTTGTCTGTTATTGGTGTATAAGAATGCTTGTGATTTTTGCACATTGATTTTGTATCCTGATACTTTGCTGAAATTACTTATCAGCTTAAGGACATTTTGGGCTGAGACGATGGGGTTTTCTAGATATACAATCATGTCATCTGCAAACAGGGACAATTTGACTTCCTCTTTTCCTAATTGAATGCCCTTTATTTCCTTCTCCTGCCTGATTGCCCTTGCCAGAACTTCCAACACTATGTTGAATAGGAGTGGTGAGAGAGGGCATCCCAGTCTTGTGCCAGTTTTCAAAGGGAATGCTTCCAGTTTTTGTCCATTCAGGGTGATATTGGCTGTGGGTTTGTCATAGATAGCTCTTATTATTTTGAGAGACATCCCATCAATACCTAATTCATTCAGAGTTTTTAGCATGAAGGATTATTGAATTTTGTCAAAGGCCTTTTCTGCATCTATTGAGACAATCATGTGGTTTTTGTCTTTGGTTATGTTTATATGCTGGATTACGTTTATTGATTTTCATATGTTGAACCAACCTTGCATCCCAGGGATGAAGCCCACTTGATCATGTACACCTTTTTTATTAATGTATTTACTACATTTACTTTCAACTTCCAAATATAATGTTAAGCTTTTCATTTCTAAAACAATGAATTGGCAATGAGTTTACTTATATTCACTTGTTTCATAACTTATATTCTCATATCTGATGATTTACAAAGAAAGCAAATCTATCAATCATCTATGTATGAGAAGTACATGAATTTGCTTAAAAAGCACATATATATTTTTTCCAGTTACAAATTATTAAGCACTGTTTCCAAGAAAAAAACTCAAGTGACTTTTTTCCCATATATCCAGAATAATATCTCATTTGCTACAATTGGAAATCATTTAAAGGTAGAAAAGACTGATTGGCAGTTCTTTAATAATAGGTCTGTTTAAAATATCCCAAAATTGTGGTGATGCTAAATTTCATTCTGCTGGCTCTTAGCTCTTCAATGGCACAATCCAAAGCATTGACAGCAGTGGTTTATATGGTCTGCTATAGCTAAGCCAGAGAGTACATGCCTAGTACCACAATGTGGCACTGATTTTGGAATTACCAAGCAATCTTCATAAACTAGAGTATAATCTACAAGTTTCTAACATCTACTTGCTATCTGAGTTTTAAAAGTAACTACACATTTGCATCAAAAAAATTAGTATGGGTGATTACAAGAATGTTATACAGGATATAAAACTAAAAGCTGCTTTATAAATATTCAAATATCAGAGTTGTGTTGTACATATTAGAAAGCTAGTTATTACTAAATTTTATGGTGGAAGAAGCATCTGTACCTCTCTCCCTGCCTGGCTTCCTTCTACACGGTATGTGATGCTCTTTCAGTTTAGCAGTCCATAGATGGCTTGTGTTAGTCAGCTCAATTAGACGCCTGCCTTATTACTGGAACAGAGGGTTTTCTGTGTCAGGGGTTCTTGCCTTGGTGTATCAGAAGAATGGGATCGTCGTGGGCTTGAAGAATGAGTGAAAGGTTTCATTGAGTAGAAGTAGTTCTCAGCAGATGAGGGAGCCAGAAAGGGGACGGTTTTCCCCTGGAGTCGGGCTGCTCTCCAACCACCCCAGTCAAACTCCGTGTTGTTCTGCCAGTTGGTGGCCTGCCTGCATGCTCCCCTGGACATCCTCTTGACGTCCAGACATTTGTTTCTTCTTCTGCTAATCCACTCCTCTTGATGTCCAGCCACTTGTGTGCTTGCCTGCTAGAGTCTCAGGGGTTTTTATAGGCACATGATGGGGGCGTGGCAGGGCAGTGTGGTCTTGGGAAATGCAACATTTGGGCATGAAAGCAGGAGTGCCTGTCTTCACCTAGGTCCCGGGGCACAAGTCAGGGGTGGAGCCCTTGCCAGGTTCCTAAGCTTCTCCTCCTTGCAGTTCCCTGCCCCTATTCCATATCGCTTTCTTTCCCATCCTCCTCCTCTTCCTCTTTCTCCTCCTCCTCTTCCTTTCCCTCATCCTCCTCCTCCTCTTCCTTCTCCTGCTTCGTCTTTTTTGAGATAGGGTCACATTGTGTATCTGAAGCTGAAATGCAGTTGTGCAATCATAGCTCACTTCAATCTCAAATTACTAGGCTCAATCAATCCTCTTGCCTCAGCCTCCTGAGTAACTGACACTACAGGCATTCACCTCCATGTCCTGCTATTTTATTATTATTATTATTTTTTTTTTTTATTTTTAGAAATGGGCTCTCTCTAAGTCATCTAGTTTGGTCTCAAACTCCTGGGCTCAATGGATTCTCCCACTTAGCCTCACAAAGTGCTGGTATTATAGGCATGAGCCACTGTTCCTGGCCTTGAGTCCTGCTTATATCCCCCTTCTTTCTCAGATGGGAGGTAGCATCAATATATGTGTTAGAAGCAAAGTCCTTTTGGGGCACATTTTATACTGCACGGGATCTACCTTAGATCCCCCTCTTTTCTGTTACTCCTTTCTTTCAGACATTGGCAAAGTCCAATCACCAAGGCAGTTTGGTTTTTCCATTTCTCAAAATCTACCTGGCTTAGTGGTACTTAGACTCAGGGAGGGGTGAGCCTTGGGTTTCCATTCTCTGAATAGCCCCCTGAGCAACATACTGAATTGGCCTATTTCAAAATTAGGGGAAGTAAAAAGGCCCAGATTACATGGGAAGCCTAAACTCCATGATATGTTTTAGATTTTTTTCAATACCTACTCCTTGTTATTGTGCTAATGAAGTTACCCATTAAAACATAACTCCTTCATAACTCCTTTCTGATAACATTTGTAGTGTGTACCCCTCAGTAATCCTGTAAACAAAAGTACTAAATGACAGGGCAGAATTTGTTGATATCTGTTACCTGCCTCCAATATCATGATAATACCAAAATGCCACACTGCACCTCCTCATTACCATTCTTTTTTGTTCTTATAAATTCAAGTTATCATTTGGTGTCATTCTCTTTTTTCCAAATTATAAATAGTTTATAACTGTTCATATTAAGCAGAATTTCCATATCATCCACAATGTTAGTACAGTAACTGAAACACAAAGAAGAAATAAGAGGTGGGTGGGGATGCTCATGGTGTATGACCTGATATACTGTAAGGTTTCTCTCTTTTTGTATGTGTCTCCCACAGGCAAGTATCAGTTCTCTCTCTCTCTTTTTTTTTTAGATAAAGTTTCATTCTTGTTACCCAGGCTAAAGAGCAATGGTGTGATCTTGGCTCACTGCAACCTCCGCCTCCCAGGTTCAAGCAAGCCTCTCACGTAGCTGGGATTACAGGCATCCACCACCAGGCCTGGTTAATTTTTTGTATTTTTCATAGAGACAGGGTTTCGCCATGTTGGCAAAGCTGGTCTCAAACTCCTGACCTCAGGTGATCCACCCACCTCAGCCTTCAGTTCAGGTTTTGAAGGAGAGTAGATTATCCAAGATTCATTAATTGTTAGGTATATTTTCCAAAGTGTGAAAAAACAGGAGTAAATTCGATAATGAATCTCTGCAATCCAAAACTATTTAATACAATCAAGAATATCTTTCTTATCTATTATCACAAACATCCTAGTTGCCTCCTTCTAAAAATTTCTTTAAAATATTAAGACACAATTAATTCTACCTTATTAACTCTCTCAAAAGCAAAAATAAATATGTACCATTCAGCATACAAAAGTTACACAGTAAAAGTGAAAGTGTATATGTGTGTGTGTGTATATTTTACATATATATGTGTATATATATATGTGTGTGTGTATATATATGTATATATATATGTGTGTGTGTGTGTATATATATATATATGTGTATATATATATATATATCTTGGTTAATTGGTCCACTCATTAAATTTACGTTTGGTCATCCTTACTCTTAACATATATATATAAATGTAGGTCACTATAAATTTGAAAAATTACCTCCACACAATACATGCTTTCTTCATGATGTCTTAACCTCATTCAGTTCTCAATCATTGCAAATGTAGATAAGCCCACAGTTTGTGGGACAGTTAACATACAGGACAAACACTTGTTTTGTGGTAACTTACTGGGAAGGTAAGTGTGTTCTCTGGTATTTATAGAACTTAGATTGAAGACATTACTGGTATTCTCCAATACGATTGCTTTTAAACAGAATTTAATCTTAAACCTTGAGATAGCATAGGACAAACCCTATAAAATACATTTTTCCTCTACAAAACACAAGATCTTTTTGAAACTTAGTATCTTCAGTTATCATTATTACTGCATTATAAAGCTGATTTATATAATTTTGCATAGCATTGGTCAAAATGACAAGGCAAAATAAAAGAAAATAAAGCATTATTATACAAACAAGAAAAGTCATTGAAAATAATTTAAGGCCTTGAAGTGAATTAATCAGTCTAACTTAAACCTGAAGAATAAACCATTAATTATCCACCTAAAATGCAAGCAATATGTTTTTTTCAGCTTCTGTTCTGTGGACCAAGTAACAGAAACAAATCTTCCTTATGGTTTATGTATTAGAATCCTTCTGGACTTGAATGACTAAAAGTCAATTCCATTTTTCAACTGTTCACGGAAGATTTAGGACTGTTTTAGCCGTGTGTGTGGAATGCCAAACTGTGGACACTGTGCAGATGCTAGTGCTCAGAAGGCTTCTGCTGCTAAGTAAGAGTGAGACTGAATCATGGACTTCCACCTTGATGTTTCCATTATGTCGGTTGCTTGGTTGCTGTTCCAGTTTTTCTTATGTTTACACCCAAGTTGTCGAAGTACACTGCACCTACTAATAATGTCTATGGCTTTTGCTTTCAACTGTTCTGCAATGTGCAAATCTGCAAGGACAAGTGTATCAACAACATTTTCTACTGAGGGATTACTACACAAAGCTTCCTCACACATGACTTTCAGCTGTTCCCAGTGCATGTTTGTCTGCAGCTGCCAACAAGTTGTCAGCCATTTTGTCAAGGTTTAGTTATTTCCCTGTGTTAATGAATCTCATCATTTCTTTAAAAACATCAGGGCCTAAATAATTTATTTCCACTCGATTCTTTATGTTTTCTTCCATTTCATGTTCAAACATGGCATTAAAAACTGGGGATGGAGGTACCAGCAGATTTATGAGCTTTAAATTCTTGTCCTCTCACAAAAAACTACAGTCTGTACATCTTGTGTTTTCACAGAGATTACATAAATCTTCTCCTAGTCGACACTCAGCCACCTTCAAAGTATTTGTATTAGTATGTCCTGATATGTTTACTGAATCTAGTACCACACTCATCTCACAAAATAATGTAAGCTCGTCATCTGGTAAAAGACCTTCAGCTTCGTCAAGCAAATGGTCCCTTCTAATGAATTTTTGTTAACATCGTTCTTGAGCAGTTGTTGGCTGAAGATTAATTTGATGAATGCAATTTTTCTAAAATGGATGATTTGGATGTTAGCTGTTTAGAAATAGCTCCAAAAAAAGTTTTTGTAATACATGTTCACACTGAAAATGAAACAGATTTGCTTCAGCCTCCAAGAGTGTATTTATGTGAAATTAAATGAGTGCTGGCTGTGAGCTGTACCCTTTTCTTCCTAAACTGGAAAATGGTAAAGAGGTGTGATTTCAAAAAGTTGCCCAGGCTGGCCTTGAAATTCTGGCTTCCGGTAGTCCACCCTCTTCAGCCTCCTGAGTAGCTGGAACTATAGGTGCATGCCACTGCAGTCAACTTCTCCTAATATGTTTAAATAGTTGCCTCTAAAAACAATTTTCACTATTTATTCTTGTCACATTTTGGAGCTGATACCTGGTACTTTTTATGCTACCAATCTGGAAGTGGCTGGGTCATGTTTTCTTCTAAAATGTCTGTCTGCCTTCTTGTCATAAATTTGTTCTGCCTCAGCATTGATTTTTAGGCTTAACATGAGTTGTTTAAGATCTAGTCATAGCTTGTCACTTTTGGCTTTGTTAAAACTTCCCTTCCTCAAGTAGTTGATTGAGGTAGAGTCTACTTGGTTCTCATCCTAATGACCCAGAAATGCAACACATCACGGAAGTGATGACCATGATATAACCTAATGATCAATACCAGAGTCGTATAATAATTTTCCCCTTCATGTGTTTTCCCTTAAGCTAGCCATTCCTCAACTCCTGCAGAGAAGCCTAGGAAATAATACCCATGGTCCTTAATAAAAGTCCTCCCACAGAGGTTCCCCCTCACACTTCTATGCAGGTGGTTGAGCTCTCTGCCACTTCTGGACTTTCTTTCAGTTTTCTATCATCATCCCTAACATCACTTAGGAACTGTGAGTAATAAATTTCTTCTATTTTATGTATTTTGTTCTTCCTTTCTCATTTCATTATATTTTACCTCACTCATATATCTGAAACTCACTTCCCCACCTCCATCAGAACTTTCCAGGGTCTTGGTTTAAGGCCATTCTCAAGAAAGAGACTTCAATATAAAATTGGAAAGAACTCATAACAATGTAAATCACAGCACCTCTGAATATATTTAATAGAGCAATTAAAACATAAAAGTTTAATTTTATACATCATAGAATTGCTATTTAGAAATAGGAGATGTTAGAAGAAAAAATAAAACACTTTGTCGAAGTTATATACATATTTGCAATTTTTTAAGTAATATTACCCAATAGGTTATACAATCATGCCAACTCATAATTCCAGGTTGCAAGGCATGAAGGAGGGGAGAATGCGAGATGACTCTCTAATGGGTATAAAGCTTCCTTTTGTAGTGAAAAAATAATAATTTGGATCTGGATAGTGGTGATAGTGGCACAACATTTCAAATATGTTAAATGCCAATGAATCATACAGATTAAATGCGTAAAGTGTAAAATTTTGTGGTGTGAGATTCCTATATCAATTATTTTTTTTTTTAAAAAGTGGCTGACCAGATTTGAGAAACCAAGAGGCCATAGTTTGTCAGCCCTTGGTTTATGCTACAAATTTATTTCCCACATGCTTGAAATAGTAAATGCTGTCATTTTTATCATTTGCATTAGAAACATAACATGTTTTGAAACTATAATATATTATGCAATTATATAAACACTAAAGTTATTTTTATGGAAATTTTTTGACTTGTTTAATGATAATAGTGCAAATTTTATTTTGCTGTACACACAGTTGTTAGTGCTTTGCAATATTAATGAATTCATTCTTTTGGTAACCCCATGATAGTGATAATGCTATGACAATCATTGCAATTTCATTGGTGAGGAAGCTGAGGCAAATAAAGTCCAAGTAACCTGTCCAATCCCACATCATTATATGGTGGTTTCTAAGACTTGAATCAAGGCCTTCTGGATCCAGAGTGCCAGCTCTTAACCACCGTGTTATGCTGACACTCCTCTTTGGGGTACATATATTTTCAAAGTGTAGTATCACAGTTTCCCACTTATGTAGATATATATTAATTGTAATTTTATTACAAATGTATAATTTAAGATATGTAGAATTATTATTCCAGGTGTGTATCACTGCATAACAAATAGTTTTCAAATGTAGGGCCTTAAAACAACTGTAATCATTTCATTATCATCTCTCAGAGTCTGTGTGTTAGGTGGGCTCAGTTGTGTGTTCCTTCCAATGAGTTTCTTAGGTAGCTACTTTTCTATGGTGCCTGGGTCTATAATTATTTGAAGATCATTCACTTACATACTTAGTGATTCGTGTTGAAAGGTTCCAAGTCCTAGTGAGCTACCAGGATTCCTTAGGCATATATTTGTGTCTCTCTACCAAATTGTCATTTGTTATGGGGACTACTGACTGAGTTGTTGAGGTGTTGGGTAATAGTGACAGAAAAAAAGACATGAAAAGAAGAGACAGAAAGAGAGAAGGAGAAACAGAGCGAGAACATGCTCTGTTTCCAGCAGAGCTTTGAAAACTTAGCTGCATTATTTTCACTACCTTCTTTTAGTTGAGACAGTTACAAAGTTTGCCAAACTTCAAAGGGAGGGGATACTACTTGATAGGAAAATTGTCAATGTATTTATAGTCATATCTCAAAATAACAACACATATAACCTTTCAAAGAAGGCAGCAGAAGTTATTAAACTATCATATGATTCATAAAATATTAAAAATAGTACAAGAAAAAAATTACATGAATTTAGATTTCTACAATTACTGCAATTTTTAAACATTGTATTTTATTTATTCAAACATATTTTCAAAAACAGAACAAATGTTCTAAAAACAAGCTGCAAGTGGATAAAATAGATAACATACAAGAAACATTATCAAGTTTTTTGAATGACACTAATAAATTAATTTGTGATGTTACATTTTGGAACTTCCTGTCTTGAATTGCTGTGTTCATTTCACAAATTAAACTTTAAATCTCATAATTAATACATGAAAACGTTTGTGAAAAGTTAAACATTGCAGAATTATATAGAATAAAAATTTAAATTCTCATCCTTGTAATTACATGTATTTTTCAAGATTCTTTCTTCTTTGTAACAGTTTACATATACTTTATTTCATTGAAAAAATACGTTTTTTTGTTTTTCTGGAAACTACTTTTTCTGTTTAGCAATGTGATAATGAACCTGTTCTCTGCAATGGCTACCCTCATACATTTGTTGGAGGTACATGTGTTCATTGACTGAAAGCCATTTAAGTGCTGGAGAAATCATTCTGTTCATACATGTGCTTATATGCACGGATTTCTGCATGACAGATTCCTAGATGTAGAACTTCAGTTTCAAACGGCATATTCACATTTTATTTAAAAGTGTTATTTCAAATTTACTTCCTCAAAAATAGATTTCTCAGGTTTTTATAGGGTGAAAATCTTCTCTATGACATCAATTTGTTGGCATTATTTCTATTTTACTAAGCATCAGTAACTTTTTAATCTTTTATATCTTATGGGCCATTTTTACTTCGAATTGCTTCTTCATATTTTAATCAATTTTTTATTAGATTGTTTGTCGGTTTTGGTTAGTGATTTCTAGTACTCACTGAACAATGGATACCAATCTTTTGTTATGCGTGTTATAGGATAGGTTTTATGTGAATTAATACAGGTTTATAAGCATGATAAAACAACATTATTAATCTTTGGCACTATATAAGTTCTGCTTTTCTTTATATCTTTATTAATTCCTAGAAGATTTGCATAAAATTTTCTATAATTCCTCCATCTTATCAATGTTTTAGAGTGTGTGTGTGTGTGTGTATATATATATATATATATATATATATATATATAAACGTGATTTATCTATGTCTATGTAATTATAAATATATATATATATATAAATATATTTGTTTTTAATCACACCTTGTGCCGGAGAATATTTTTTGTGAAAATTGGTAAATGGTAAGACTTTTTAGTGACAAAGACAACTAGGTTTCTGTCAATCTGGACTAGTTTGATCATAAAATGCTTCGCTGATATGTAGATTAAAGGAGATTGATGGCTTAATTTAAGTATTTTCCACAAAATTTATAAACTTCTTGTATTCTTTGTAAATATTTTTGACTTACTAAAAAATTTATGTTTCCATATTACATTTGTAGGAGGGATGAATCAAAAATCTCTGTGGAAAATAAAAAAATAGATATGATCATTTAAAATATAGTTATGTAGAATAATAATAATTATTTCAAGCTGTCTTCAAAACACACTTTGAATTTTAAATTCAATAACATACCTATTAGCTAGTTAATTGATGCTGTGTCTTGTTTTAAAAGAAATGGACATGTATATGTACATGTATGTTTAACAAGATTGAAAATTCACTAAGTCCCTTTAGAGTGCAATTTCTATATGATCACAACCTAAAATTAAGGACTTACATTTTTTATTAAAGGCCAAAAATGATAATAAAACCCATATGAAATTTAGGATTTTTTTTTCTAGTTCTCTTAAGCATGATGATTGTATTTTGATGAGAATTGAATTGCATTTATAGATTTATTTTGGCAATATGCTCATTTTCACAAAATTGATTCTACCCATCCATGAGCATGGGATGTATTTCCATTTGTTCGTGTCATCTATGACGTTTTTCAGCAGTGTTTTGTAGTTTTCTTTGTAGAGGTCTTTAACCTTCTTTGTTAGGTATATTCCTCATATATTCCTCAGTAATTTGTTTTGTTTTCCTTTCTTTCTTTTTTTTTTTTTTTGCAGCTATTTTCAAAATGGATGAGTTCTTTATTTGATTCTCGGCTTTGAAACCTGCATAGTCAAAGAAAGACTACAAAAAAGAACAAACCTAGAGGCATTACATTACCCAATGTATTATAAGGCACATTAAAAGTTACCAAAACAACATGGTATCAGTATGAAAACAGGCATGTACAGAATAGAGATTCCAGAAATAAAGACAAATACTTATAGCCAACTGAACTTTGACAAAGCAAACAAAAACATAAAGGGGAAATGACACTCTATTCAACAAATGGGGCTGGAATAATTGGCAATCCACATGTAGATGAATGAAACTTCACCTTTGTCTCCCACCTTATAAAAAATCAACTCAAGATGGATCAAATAGTGAAAACTAAGATCAGAAACAATAAAAAATTCTAGAAGGTAACACTGGAAAAACTCTTCTAGACATTGGGTTAGGCAAAAACCTCATGACCAAAAATCCAAAAGCAAATGCAACTAAAACAAAGATAAATAGTTGTGATTTAATTAAACTAAAAAGCTTCTGCCAGCAAAAGAAATAATCAGCTGTGTAAACAGACAACTCACAGAGTAGTGGAAAATATTCATGAACTATGCATCTCACACCAAAAGGCTAATGTCCAGAATCCACAAATGGCTAAAAAAAAAAAAAAAAGAAAAAAACCCATCAAAAAGTAGCCTAAGGTAATAAATAGACAATTCTTAAAAGAAGATATATAAATGGCCAACATATATGAAAAAATGCTCAACTTCACTAATTATCAGGAAAATGCAAATCAAAACCACAATGCAATACCACTATACTCCTGAAAGAATGAATATAATTTAAAAATCCAAAAATAATAAAATGTTGGCATAGATGTGGTAAAAAGGGGACAGTTTTATGCTGCTATGGGAATGTAAACTAGTACAACTACTATGGAAAACCATATGAAGATTCCTGTAAGAAATAACAGTAGAAGTACCATTTAATCCAGCAATCCCACTACTGTGTATCTTTACAGAGGAAAGGAAGTCTTTATATGAAAAAGACCCACACACATATATGTTTCCAACAGCACTGTTTGCAATTAAAAAAAAAAGAATGGAAGTAGCCTAAATGCCCATCAACCAACCAATAGGTGGATAAAGAAAATGTATACACACACACACGCGTGCGCGCACACACACACACACATATACACACACATATACATACTATATATATATACACCATGGAATACTACTAAGCCATAAAAATAAACAAACTAATGGCATTAACAGCAACTTGTACAAAGTGGGAGGGCATTATTCTTAGTGAAGTAATTCAGGAATAGAAAACTGAACATTCTAAATTGTCACTTATAAATGGGATCTAAGCTATGGGGATGCAAAGGCATAAGAATGATATAGTGGGTTCTAAGGATTCAGAGGAGAGGGTGGGAGGGGGTGAGGGATACAAGACTACACATTGAGTGCAGGGTACACTTCTCATGTGATGTGTGCACTAAAACCTCAGAAATTACCACTAAAGAACTTATCCATCTAATCAAACACCACCTGTTCCCAAATAGCTATTGAAATAATTAAAAATATGAGAATAAAATCAAACAGATGAATATTTTTAAATATCTGGAAAAAATAGAATTGGCTTGTGAAACCAAAGATGTTGCAGAATAGTTCAAATTTACAGTAGGAAGCAGGAAAGAGTGGCTATATTTCTAATTCCACATAATTTCCACTGAGAAATGACTTATGTGCTTAAAACAGTAAACATTTGGCCATAAATTTTAGCAAAAAATGTGACAATAAAGCTGCATGCATCATAAAAGCCAAGCAATACTACTCATCTCAAAATATCAAAACGAAGAGAGAGACTTTCTAAACAATTTAACTATGTAATAGTTTCTTCAGCAACAGTTAAAACAACAGAATCCTGTTCAAAATGAAGCTAAATTATTCTGAGTATGTTCAAAACAGTACTGATACTGTCAGTAGACTTCTTAATGTTCTTGTGTTTATGTAAAATGTGTGAAATATAGTTAAGCTGAGTAAATTTTTTTCATGTAACTTGTGAATTAGAACAACAAATTTCAATATAAGTGCAACAAATTTCAATATGAGCTTGTACGGCTTTATGTTATTTTTTATTTTCCCTAGTGTTTTCTTCATTGCCACAAAATATTTCTAACCATTAACTGGGTGGTAAATCTCTGAAAAACAAATTTTTACTTGACAAGGTAGATTTCGAAAAGATTTTTTTTTTTTTGTCACAGGAAGAAAGAAATCTTGCATCACAATATTTATTGCTGGAATCAACTGAAGTATCCCTATCTATCAGGTTTTCCAGCTTCAAATCTCAGATTTAACTAATCCCTTTTTCCTTTCTTTCCTTTTCTAGCGAACTTCCAGAAACAAAACAGACAACACTTTGTGATGATAAATAGCACAGTTGCCACACAGGCCAGCAGGAACCCAATCACATCCAAAGAGTGGTACTGGAACCAGGTGAGGTCATGGGCTGCAACTCGAAGGTGTTTGGCTCCTTTGTGGCGCATGACAAATTCAATCCAGAAGACTGCTCGATCCAAGGGCTTCACTGGTTGATCATGATGAATTCTTGATGATTTCATAATATTCTCTTTATATCTGAAGGATAAAAATAAAGATACCAACACTGAAAGTAAGTTAATTTGCCTGTACATATCAAGTCTATGAAAGGCATTTAAAGTGTCAAATAATTCAAAGTAAATGTCAAAGAATTGACATAGAATTTATGTATTTTAATTTGAGTCATCATAGAAAGTTTGGCTTTTAAATTGGACTTTTCTCATTAACAAATATTTTTAAAGTAGAAAAGGAAGGTCAGGTGAGAAAGTTATTTTTTCAAGCAGAGAAAGTATGAGGCATTTTTAATTTGTTTTTAATTTTTTAATTTTAAGTTTTTGTGGGTCCATATTAAGTGTACATATTTATGGGGTATATGAGATGTTTTGATACAATGTGAAATAATCACATCATGGAAAATAAGATACTCATTCCTTAAGCATTTATCCTTTGTATTATGAACACATTCCACATTACACTATTAGTTCTAAAACAGGCATATTAGAATGTGCTCAACATCATGAGCCATTTTAAGTGCTATAAGAAAGATGTGAAAATGCAATCTGAGAATTATCATCTCTCAGGTCCTAAAAAGGAATTTTATCATGGTGGGTGACATGCCTCATAGCTAGTCACTTTGCTTCTAGATTACTCTTTTTTCTCCTACTGTTTCCTACCCTGTAGCCAGAATGATGTTTTGCAATTAAAGTGAGATTATGGCACTCTCCTGATTAAGATTTTTGCCTGGCTTCTCATTATTTTCAGAAAAAAATCCAACTCTATTATTTGGTCTACAGAACCCTACATTGTTAGACACTGGCAAGATCTTTTTCTAACACTTTTTCCCTGCACACTGTCTTCTAGATTGGCCTACTATTTTCCTTTAAGCTTCCAAAGGTGTTCTCATCTTAGCACTTTACACATTTTATCCCTTCTCTCCCGCTCTTGGAGTATTCTTTCTTGCTACACCCAAGGCATGCTTCTCTCTCTTGTTGTAGCTTCCCTCTAAGTGTTACCTCTAAGAGAGGCTTTTACTGGCCACACTCTGATGGAACCTCTAGGATTTTCTCTGTTTACTGTGCTTATTTTCTATCTGATTCCTAGAATTTTTAAAATGATTTATATATCTCATAAAATATACATTTAAATATAAAATACAAAAGATAAATATACTTGCACTAAGTGAATAGTTCAAAAATGGAAGATCCTCTTGAACATTATCTTGAGGCGAAGATACCAATTTACTTATTGTTCAGTTCATGGTATAGGATATCACAACCTGCCTAGAATAGCTCTCTTTTTCTGAACCATTTAGTCACCACTTTTGTCCACCAACTAAAGATTAGCCTGACTTTGAATAGCAGCACTAGTTTTGCTTGTTTATGTAATTGAATTATATAATATGTACTCCTTAGTGTCTGTTTTTTTTAATATAGCAGTTCTTGGGTAATTCCATTGCTGTGTAATATTTTGTTGATTGATAAAGCACAAACTATGTCTTCATTTTATGTTGAATATATATTTCTGTTGCTAACGATTTTTGGACACTGTTGATAATTCTGTCATGAACACTCTTCCATATACCATTAGATTTATATATTTATACATATCTGTTGTGTATATAATTGAGAGTAGAATTGCTGAGATAAAAGTGCATGCATAATTATGATTTACTTCTTGACTTTAAATTTTTTTGAAGTGTATTTTGTTAATTTCCAAAATTTAAAGATATTTTAGTAATAGTATTTATAACATCCCTTACTTCCACTATGGCTGGATCATATAGTCTTTATGATATTGAATCTTTTTATATTTCCTAAGTCTTGATTTATTTCCCACCACATGCCACTTCAAACGACTATTAACTATTCGACATGCTCTAGGAAAATGTGTCTTCCAGTTGATATATACGATACCTATACGTGTATTGTATATGTACATATGTGTGTGTTTATCATTTTACATTATAAGATTCCATTTGTTAATTGTGTTCTTCAAATGTTTTATGTTCTTACTCATTATTTGCTCTTTTTTTAAAAGTCTGTTTAGATTGAGTGAAAGTATTTGTATAATCACATTTAAATCTACCACTTTGTTTTATATTTCTTTTCTATTTGTCCAAGCTGGTTTTTGTTTCTTTTCAATTATTTCCCATCTTCTTTAAAGGTATTTTGATCATTCATTATCCTTCTATTTTCTTTGTGATACAATATTTTTAAAGTATTCCTTTAGATGATACCCTCCTTACACAAAAACTTTATTGAGAGTAGTTATAAATGCGGAATTGATGGTAGCTGGACTCCACAAGGAATTTTGCACATTGTTATCTTTGGGGTGTGAATAAAATCAATTATTAAAATTTAACTTAAAATTATATTTTTTGTGCTTCAAAGACCATCATCAAAAAGTAAAAAGTTTGGTCACCCAGAATGGGACAAAATATTTAAAAATTATATATCTGACTTGACCCATAATATATAAATAGTTCTTAAAACTTAATAGTAAGACTAATAGCAAAGTTAAAAATGTTCCAAGGATTGGAGTAGACATATTTTCTAAGAAGATATATGAATGATCAATAAGCACATATAAAGATTCTCAACATCTTTAGCAGTAATGAAAATGCTATCCAAGACGAAGATGAGAGATCATTTTATATGCACTAAGAAGTATGTAAGAAAAAGACAGATAATAAGAGGTTTGGCAACAGTGTGGAGGAATTGGAACCATGTTGTACTGCTGGTGGTAGTGATGAATGGAACAAGTACTTTGGAAAACAGTTTAGCAGTTCTTCATAAACATACAGTTCTCACATGAGCCAGCAATTCCACTTATAGTATCAACCCAAGAGAAAGGAAAACATATTTATGCAAAAACATGTGTAGCAATATTCATAGTAGCCTCAATTGGAAACAATCAAAAGGCCAATGAACTGATAAATGAACAACTAAATTATGACGTATCCATACTACAAAATATTATACAAGTGTAAAAGGAAATTAAATATTAAAACACACAACAACATGAATTAAACTAAAAACCATAAAAAAAAACAACAAAAAATTCGGCTAGGTGAAATGTCATTTACACAGTACCCTAGACTGTATGATTCCATTTATATGAAATATCTAGAGAGAATAATCTATAGAGAAAGAAAACAAATTGGTGTTAGACTATGACTAGGCAGTCATGGGAGGTGATTTTGGTGTCATTGCAGTTTCTTTTGTGTTGATAAAAATGTTCCAAACTTATATACTGGTGATGACTTAATGACTCTGTAACATAGTAAAAATATTTGGAATTTTTGCCATAAATAGATGGGTTTTATGCTATCAAAATTAAATCTCATTTTCAAGTCTGTTACAATAATGATAATAAAAATTAATTTTTCAGCAAGAAAATAGTTATATTCTGAGACATTTTAGATATTTAATTAAAACATTTTATTATATTATTTCAAGTTTATTCTTCCTTTCTACTATGGATTCATTATGTCAAATTTTTAAGAAATTTTTTTATATTATCTATATCATTTTAAAATTATTTTTGTTTAGAAAATTGTTTCACTAACTGGTTACTCACTAGATGTATGGGGTTCAAATACAATTTTTAAATAACATAAAAAATAAAAGCAGATTTTGGATTGGTTAAATCATTTAAATGCTTTCAAAATTACTCTCATAAAAAGGATGAAACTTATGCTAACTACTGACAAAAAAACTATCTATTAATACCACCTAGTGAAAAATATTGTTCTACTCACGAAGGATCATTAATTACTGTCTTCAGTGCATTCAGCAGGTCTGTACTCGACATTGTGTTGAAGTCCACTCTAACAGCTGTTCCCTTGGCCTTCATGTGAGCAATGTTATCAGATTGATCAAAAAACAATGGAATGCCCACCATAGGGATCCCATGGTAGATTGTCTCGTAGATGCCATTGGCTCCACCATGAGTTATAAAAGCTCTGGTTTTTGGATGACCTAGGATTGGATGAATGTTAGCAAAATTATTCATAGGAATAAAATGAGATGCACAATGAAAGGCTCTGAAAGTGACAGTGTTTTCTAGATTACACATTGAACTAATTTGCTATTACTTTTCAGACTTCAGAGGAAAAAACAGGTACTTGTGTTGGAGATGTAACTGAAGGCTATATGGTGTGTGTGACTTCAGACTGCAAAACTTAATACAAGATTTCCAGTTGGACTAATGAAAAAGGGCATTCTAGATTTTAAAAATGTGCACAAAAGAGGACAGCAAAGAGATGGGCATGAAATGAAGTGTTATTCTAAGTACAGTCACAGAGTGTGATATGTGGGGTGTGCAAGGCAGCAGGCAGTGGCTTGGTGGTGGTGCTAGGATTGAGGAGAGACAGGTCACACTTCATCATGAAATGTGTCATTACTTTAAGATTAAGATTAGGAATTTAGTCCTCCAGAAAATACAGAGTCACTGGTGATAGAAGAGCTATTATATTTAGTGGCATTTGAAATAACCCTGCAGGAGAGGAAAAAACAGGTGTAAAGCTGTAGAAATAGGAGACAGAGGGACAGCCCGGGAAGATATTGTAAAATTCTGTGAGATATAATAACACCTGAAATAAAGATTCTCTCTGATTCTGACCGTGAAGAATGTGAGTGTATATCATAAAATGCTAACAATTATAGCTAATTTTTCCCCCTAGGACTGGAAAATAAATATAAAGAAGTTACATTTTGTTTTCCTTAACAAATATTCAATAAGCTTGTTTCATGATGAACTATTAACACTCTAATACGCTGTTACTAATATATCCAGTATTTGTTCACCAGAGTTTTACCTAGAAGGTCATTCTGGGGTATCCACCTGTACAGCCGAGTATTGAGACCTAAGGCATCTGGTTTATTCCCATCAAATCTCCAAAGAACCTGTTACAGTAAAGAGAATATCTTATTCCACGAGTGGAACTCAAAAGTTATAAAATGTTAGAACTGTAAAAAGAGTAGAAATGAGATCAAGGGATGATAGTAAATAAATCTATTCAAAGACCGCTGTAAAAAGAATACCCACAGTTTATTTTCTGAACTTTAATGATTTAGGTATATAAGAAACCATTATTTTCCAAAATAATACCTTAGAAAAATAAGATTATCAATGAAAAGTTCAAGTATTTAGAAAATTGTTATGTTTTTTAAAAGAAGAACTACCTGCGGCTAACCATCATATGAAGAAAAAAAGTTGAACATCACACATCATTAGAGAAATTCAAATCAAAACCACAATGAGATAACATCGCACACCGGTCAGAATGGCCATTATTAAAAACTCAAAAAATATCATGATGTTGGCAAGGTTGTATGGAAAAGGAATTCTTATACTCTG